>NT_167244.2:1367781-1391292 GCF_000001405.40 Homo sapiens | reverse complement strand
GCTTTGGCCAGGCATGGTGGCTCACGCCTGTAATCCCAACACTTTGGGAGGCCGAGACAGGTGGATCACGAGGTCAGGAGATCGAGACCATCCTGGCTAACATGGTGAAACCCTGTCTCATTAGCCGGGCATGGTGGCGGGTGCCTGTAGTCCCAGCTACTCGGGAGGCTGAAGTAGGAGAATGGCGTGAACCCGGGAGGTGGAGCTTGCAGTGAGCCGAGATTGCGCCACTGTACTCCAGCCTGGATGACAGAGCCAGACTCTGTCTCGAAAAAAAAAAAAAAAAAAGCTTAATGGTGCCCATCTCACATCAGACAGGAACAAAGCAACCCCCTGTTTATCCCAGCTTGGCTTCTGGTCTATGCCCATGCCTGGTTTATGCTTTGGACACATAGATTACTGATTTTAAAAAATAAAAATAAATTAAATTTAAAAGCAAGGTACAGAACAGTGTGTATAATATGCTATTATTTGCACAAATCGGGGAAGAATAAATATTCTTATTTGCTTTTTATGCAAAGAACATCTCTGGAAGAATATATCAATGAACTAGTAAAATTTGCTTCTGGAGAGAGAAACTAGATGTGTGGAAACCAGGGGCAAGAGGGAGACTTTTTCCTGTGTTTTTAAAATTTTGAGCCAGCAAATGTGCCATCTATCTAAACAATTACCTAAATTTTAAAATGTTTAAGAAGAGGATGGTCAGAATGAAAGGAATTCTGGACTAGTCAAAGAATCTGGATTATGGTCCTAATTGTGGAGATTTGTAGCTTCATGTTCAGGGGCAGCCACAACTTCAGCCTCCTTTACAAGAAAGTGGACAAAATGTCATAGCTGGAAATGGATGTGCTTCATAAACTACAAACTAATGCGCAACTGTCAGGGTCCTTATTTCCCTGAGTCAGCCTATTCGGCATAGCTCCTTGAATATATTAGGTGCTCAGTAACTGTTTTAAAGGAGTGATCTTATCTAATTTCTCATGCTTTAAAAATACTGGAGCCAAGAGTCAGGTGATTTTTGTCTTCTCTCTCTCCTTTATGACTCTTAATTGCCTCTGTTTTGACATTTCCCAGCAGGGAAGACCTAACTCCTACCTCTTTCACACAGCTGCTCCAAACCCTTCACATCAGTGGAAGCCCAGCTCAAGTCCCAGTTTCCTGAATGAAACTTTCCTAACAAGTCAGTCTTCATTCTGATGAATGGGGGCTGAGACCTAGCCCAGAGGTTGCTTGCCAAGCTGTGGGCTCTGGCTCAGGGCAGCAATGGCCCCAAGAAAGTGAACTGATCCATCCTAATTTTCACAAAGGTGTCAGAGGGGCCTGCAGGTTCTACATGGATCTCTCTTTCCTAAATCACCGTCTCATTTATTACCATTTGATTTTTGCCAACTTCCCTGGCTTTGGCTCACATTTAGCTTCATGAGGGATAGGACTATGTCTTTCTGTCTTTCCATACTCTCCTATGCCTATCCCAGGGCTGGGCACCCTAAACCACTCTCTAAGGGTCTCCAACTAAGTCCTAAACTCAAATCCCAGCGGTATTTTCTCAGTTCACATCCAAACTGATGACTCAAACTTTAGATCATCAGCAGTCCCCTCCTTAAAATTCTCCTCTCCACTGGCTCCTGGGTTCCCTCTCACTTATTTGATCATCCATAAAAGGAGATCTACTCTATCTTAGTGCAGCGAGGTGGAGCTACGTGGACTTCACAGGCGGAGTGTCCGGATTCAGATTCCCATTCTACCGATGCACAGTTGTTAGCACTATGCAGATCCTGTAACCTCCCTGAGGCCCGATGCCAGCTTGGTATTACTATCCCTATTGAGTTTAAACTTCTGTGCATTCTTAAGTGTTCCATCACCACCTCAAGTTCAATGTACCTTCGAATTATTCTTGCCTGGATTATCTGCCACCCTCCCCAGAACAGGCAATGAACAGGGTCATTCAGCTGTTTTCGGCAGCTGTCTCTTGATGGACAGTAGGTGGCGCTGTCTTTCAAGACAGGACACCATTTCGCTTCACCTCCGGAAGGTGGAGCATTGTTGCCAAGACTCTAGGGCACTGGCAACCGTCTTTTAAACGGTGGCTTAAAAACTGATAGCATAATTCCTCAGGGCAAGAAACATCTGGCTGTGGAAAGCTAGCCGTGAAATATGTAGACTGAAGATGGAAGGAAAGAGAAGGGAAGGGGAGCATAAAACTGTGTAAGAGGAAGAGGGGTGGCCCAGGAGAGAGACAGAGCCTGCAGGGCTGCAGAAGGCAGGTAACCAACAAGGAAAGTTTACCAGTGAGAAATGTCTTGGGCAGAAATAGTGAAGGAATGTTTAAGAACGGAAATGCCTAATACTGAAACTTAAGTTGTCTGCTCTGAGATTGTGTCCTCTGCTGAAACCTGTCCTTTAGACCAGCACTCAATACTTTTTATCCCTAGACTTCCAGGAATCAAGCAGTCAATCTGTCATGCACAGTGACCTGAATAAGAGGAAATTTAGAGAAATCTCAGGAAAGTTGCTATGCTCTATGTTTGATGAGGCAGTTCTCAGAAAAACAGGGTTGGGGAGGAGCAGGGGTTCAAGATCTCAGATTCAGGAGGCATGGGGGACTCAGCAGAGCCCTTGGGAGCTGCTGGTGAAAGAAATGAGTTATTGGTAGGAACCTCTGAATTCCACCCAGTCGCGTGGAGGAAACAACCTCCAATACAGCATGACCTCACTTAGAGTGTAAAAAGGTTAACTGGTAGAAGCAGACAGTATTAATACAATGGTGGTTACCAAAGTCTGGGCGTGGTGGGCATGGGGATGGGTTGGTCAAAGGATACAAAGTTTCAGTTACTTCAAGGAGGAATACTTCAAGAGATCTGTTGTACCTTCTGGTGATTTGTTAGTAATGGTACACTGTGTTCTTGAAAATTGCTGAGAGAGTAGATTTTAAGTGTTCTCACCACAAAACACGAAAACCAAATAAACAAAACTAAAACAGCCTGAAATGTATTGAGGCTATTAGGCATTCACCAGGTTGTTAAGGAATCCTTATTTCAAGTCCTACAAAACAGCTGATCTTGAGAAGCACAGCCAGATGGACCAGTGTGGACATTACATATGGCGAGGTTGTAGAAAGCAATGAATCCACCCCCAGTGGAATGCGTATGAGGGGCTGGTTTACAGTAAATACTTAACTGGACACACCTATTTCAACAAAAGGATAGGGTTACACAATCAGCCACTTCCCTATAATAGGGGAATTTATGAGCTTCCAACTCCAAACTGAGGCACAGGGAAGAATCAAAAAGGGTAAGCAAATGCAGAGAGTGATGTTCGGTGACACAGACAGTACGTCAGCCTGAAGTGGGACCCCAGCGGAGAGACTTCAGGGACAAGCCTGTTGCAGTCGTGAAGTGTGCAGAGGAAGCTCTGCCATTAAGTTCATCCCTTGCACTGGTTCTTTCCAAGACCCTGGAATTCCAAGCAATGTGTTCAATATGGTCATGCTAAGTGTTTTGTAAAATTTGCAAAAGTAACATATTTTAACCACGGTTAGGATTACTGTCTCCTTCCACGTCAACTTCCCTCTGTCACAGTTTCTCTTGTATCAGGTAGCATGTGGGGGTTCTAGCTAAGGGGAAATTAAGTTGGGATTACATTGTTTGAGATTACTAGGATATGTGGTTCATAAGCACTTTCATGTATAGTCAAGTTATTGCTACCCGTCTCAGTGTAGAAGTGGCTTACAGGAACCACCACCCACTGAGATAACTCACCTGACATCAGAGACTAAAGTGAAAGGTCAGAGATCTGTCACAATAAGAATGTGTGCTGTGACATGAGGCACCAGAAGTCTGTGGACAGTGAAGCCAATAAATCCTTTTAACCCCTAGATGTAGAAAATTATAAGCGTATTACTCAGTCTCATCAAAGTCTAGTCAAAATGGAAGCTCTCTTCTTTAGGAATATACTTATTAAATATGCATATACAATTATACATACATCATGAAATAAAATGATCTCTTGCATATTTGCACATGAAATTAATAGAAGTTATTCTGACATCAGAAAAGGAATTGGAAGAAGAAAAAAAGTTTGGTTCCAGCCAAAACCAGCAATTTATTGAAGGGAAGGGATACATTTTAAATAGAATAGATGCCTAGATTGTTTGACAATCACTTGATGAAGAATTAACCACATAAACACATTAAAACTTAAAAAACTTGTTGTTTTGGCATAAAATATTGACATCTACAAACAGTTTCATACTACACCTTTACAACAAGGACTTAACGAAAAACAGGCCAATGACTTTCAGCAACTTAAAAGAGTATTTAAGATTAGTCACTGCCCAAGAAAACTTGAAATGCCCTGAAATCTCAGGCTTACATAGGAAACTCTTCACAGAGGCTTCTCCAAAATTAATAGCACTAAAAATTTGCATATTATTACCAATAACGATTGTGAAATGGATATTAACTTTTCTAAACTTTCAATAAAAACTTTTTTTGCTTAACTATGCTAGACGAAATACCAAATTATTCATTCTCACCCAGGAAAATACATTACAAAAGTGTTGTCGAATGAAGAGGGAATCAAAAAATATAAATGGGAAAATATAGGGGTGGTTCAAGCAGTTATTAGAATTTTGGGGGGATTTTTTGATGTTTGTGATATGTCAGTTTTTAAACATTTATCATTTGCTGTCATTGTTTTTCCTCATTGTAAGTCATATTTGCTTTTATTCTTAATTTTGTCAAATTCTGTATCCTTTTTCTTTTCTTTCTTTCCTTTTTTTTTTAATTTTTTTATTTTGAGACGGAGTGTTGCTCTGTCGCCAGACCTGAGTGTAGTGGCAACGATCTTGGCTCACTGCCTCACTGCAACCTCCGCCTCCCTGGTTCAAGAGATTCTCCTGGCTCAGCCGCCCGAGTAGCTGGGATTACAGGCACATGCCACTATGCCCAGCTAATTTTTTGTATTTTTAGTGGAGACGAGGTTTCACCATGTTGGCCAGGATGGTCTCGATCTCCTGACCTCGTGATCCACCCACCTCGGCCACCCAAAGTACCGGGATTACAGGCGTGAGCCACCGTGCCCGGCTGTATCCTTTTTCTTGAAAAGACACAACACTGTGTAAGCTTTCAAGCCCCACAAACCTGGGCCATCTCCCCGCCCCAGGAGAGTTCTCCGGCAATGGGAGTGGCCCAGACAGGCTCCCCAGATAGGGTCGGTTTCCAACAGGAGCCCTAAGGGGAGCTGAACCGGAAAACAAGTCTGTTAGTAGCGCTGGTCCTACGTGTCAGGGCTCAGTGGATAGAGAAGGAACAGGTGAGAAGCAGAGCCCCCGCCCAGTCCCCAGCGGTCCCCTTGGGAGCTCTGCTCGTGACCGTCCCGAGGGGCTGCGGCTCCGGGGCTCGGGTCGTTTTGAGTTCCTATCTTTGCGGCGGCTCTAGAATTCCAGGGGCAAGGCTTGCGCTCTGTCGTTTGCAGAAGACCGTCGCCAACGGACATCTGGGCCCTCTGGTGTTTCCAGCCCCACCTCCTCCCAGCCTTTCTTGTAACTAACCTGATCGAATGTGTGAATTGGGATTTCTTTTAAAAGCCCACCTCAACTGAAATTGGGACAGTGTAATCAGGATTCCGCTCCCCCGCCTTCACCCCAATCGGTTGCTTTTCAAATACAGCTTTTCTAAAACGCCGCCAGGCACCCGGGCGTGAAGGCGCGCGTCCGGCGTTCCTGGGCGCTCACCCAGTGGTCCGCGCGCCAATCTCCCTAACGTTCCCCAACCACCGTCCGAGCTGCCCCACTCTTCGCCCGGTCACTGATGCAGAGGCTGTCAGGCCTCTCTGCGCACGAAACCCATCACAGCACCTGGGCCAGCAGCCAGTGCCGGGCTGTCCTCTTCCCACCCCAAGGCGGTCCTCTTGAGTCTTCACACCGCCTCCTTCGGATCCCTCCCCATCCTGAGGACTTCAGGTTGCCGGCTCCTCACTTGGGTCCTGCGCACCTCGGGCTTCTCACAGAGTAGCCGTCTCCATTCTACGGATAGGGAAACAGAGGACCAGAGCCCCGAAAGTCGTACGCCCCAAAGCCCCTGAGAGTGGTCTCCAAATGCTAGTGCTGTGGCTCTGGAAAGATTCATTTTATTTCCTGCAACAAAGGCAGCCTCAGAGAACTGGCCTCCGAGCCTTTTCCGTGCAGACCCCCAATCTTTCAAGACACCACAGACCAATTCAGTTGGCAAAAGCCCTAAGAACAGTACACCCCAAACCAATGGAATAAAAAAGTTTTGTTTAGTTGAGACTGCAGAACTCTTAGCTGGCTTACAGATTTCTAAGGCAGCATTTGGCACCTCTGTTTGCTGTTTGGCTCCTCTTTCGGCCTCTAGAGCTGACTGCAGCTCCAATCTCCTTGTCACATCCTGGTCTGCAAACTGAGACCTCACAGGGGCCTTTACACCGTAGGGCAACTCCTTATGCCGTTGTCACACTGAAGCTAGAATTCTCAAAGCTGGAGCACTTAGGTGTCTGCATTTTAGAGGTCCCAGCCTGAATATATGCACAAGCAGGGTTTTGTTTCTGAGCTCAGTGAAGAGGACTGCTGTGACTCCAGCTCTTCTGAAATATTAGATGTGTAAAATGCAAGATTCTCTTCCAGCCTTGACTGGAGGTGATGTGGCAATGTGTGTACGCAAGAAAAGTCCATGCAGACTTTATACAGACTTTACTACTACAGACAAGAGAATCTTTCTGAAAGCTAAGGCCCAGAGAAGAGCAAACTACTGAAAAACTAAGGCCTGCATCAGAAGGGCTTCTGCTTCCATTAATGGACTGAGTAATTCAGACCAAGCCTCCATTTGAAGACAACTAAAAATGCTGGGTAAAATATTTTTAAGTATCTTACTTAAATATTCAAAGGTTAGTGAGGAATTGCTGGGCCAAAATTTGGGAAAGGAAAGGAACATGGAGGTGAGCCTGCAACTGGGGTCGCTTCTGTTCTGGGAGCATTTGCTGAAGAGAGTTTAAGAATCCAAGCTGCATTTTTGGCAGCCTTTAAAGGCTTAAAGGGAGTAGAAATGGTGTCCCAGCCCAGAGAATCTCAAGTAACCATTGAACTTGTTCAAAGTGACTCTAAACTGCTAGTGTCAAAAACAATCATTCTGGGAAGAAGATAATAGCATCCTAGGCCTCAAATGCATCTAGCAAACAAGCAAAAATAATCAAGCCCCAGAGAGGCGAGATTGCCATAAGAAAAGCAGAAACAGGCCAGGTGCAGTGGCTCATGCTTGCCATACCAGCACTTTGGGAGGCTGAGGCTGGGGAATTACTTGAGCTCAAGAGTTCAAGACCAGCCTGCACAACATGGTGAAACTCCGTTTCTACAAAAAATGCAAAAGTCAGTTGGGTGTGGTGGTGCACACCTGTAGTCCCAGCTACTAGGGTGGCTGAAGTGGATGGACGGCTTGCGCTTGGGAAGCAGAGGTTGCAAAGAGCTGAGATCATGCCACTGTACTCCAGCCTGGGCCGTAGAGCCAGACCTTGTCTCAAAAAGAAAAGAAAAGAAAAAAAAACAAAAATAAAAACAGACAACAGAATCAGACCCATGGGGCTTCCAGACTCTGGGGTTATTGGGCATAGACTATATAACAATGTATATGCTATCTTCAAAAGGATAAAAGCTATGTGTGAAACATTTGGCAGAGAGCTAGAAATTATAGCAAGTGACGTAGCAGATTTTTTTTGGGGAAAAGGAAATCTAGATTGAGACAGTGATGGGCACTAGAATTATAAAGTCATGGAAACTCAAGTATGGTGGCTGTGTTGGTCAATCTGTGAGCTTAGAAAGAATTAAACGTGAGCGGCTATGTGACCACAGAGAGAAATGGAGAGAATAGCTTCCTATTTTTCAGTTGAGTTTTTTGCTACTACAAAATTATATAACCAAAAATAGATGATTTTAACTATGTAACTTAAAGGGTTATACATACACTTGGCTCAAAAAATAATATATTAAAAGGTATAGATTAAGTAGGACTGTGACCACCTTGCCCTTCTTCATTCATTCCACCTACCACTACCCCCGTCCCTGGCCCACCGGTACACACTTTTATTAGTTTTCTGCGTATCCTTTCAATGTTTCTTTATGTAAATAGAAGTTAAATACAACTATATATATTGGTATTTCTCCCCTTTATTAAGCAAAGTTTTGCATACTAAACACTGTTCTGTCACTTAACAATGTTGCCTAAAGATTGTTGTCATTGGAATATAGAGAGCCTGTATACAATGGCTGTTCAGTATGGCAACTGAAAAATTAGCTGTTTTGTGCCAGGTACCATGGTAAGTGCTGAGGATGTCAAGATGAAAAACTATGGCCATGGGTAAGAGCTTTTACCATTTTTTAAATTTGGAAAATTAAATTTAAAATTTTTTCCATTTTCCATTTTTCCCTTTTCCATTTTTTAAATTTGGAAAATTTTTCTAGAATTTGGCTTTGGGAGGGATTAGACTGCTACCCCTGGGTACCGCATCCCACTGCTTCCCGTCCTTCTGTAATGTGGACTCACTGGCATGGTTGGCCTGCGTTAGCTGGCTTTGTGCATTGGAGCAGCTGGATGCCAGCCCAGAAGTTTCTGACAGCCTGGGCCCAGCAGTTCTGTGCCCACTCTGGGCCAGAGCACACAGCTGTCTTGCAGGAGAGAAGGGAGTATCAGCCTTTTACTCCACAGACTCAGCAGAGGCTTGATTTCAGATGTGAGCTGACCTTGAGACAGGCCCAGTCTGACTCAGGGATCAACTTTAAGGTTCTGTCAGGTCTCTGTGGAGCTAATAAATGGAGTAGGGGACCATGGGGGCAAAGGGTAGGTCAGACAAACGGAAGGAGAGGCATCCTCATTTGGAACAAAAGCTGTCTGTTTTTAAAGCCCCCGTAAATGGTTCAATATTTTAAAAGTTTTTTATTTTTTAAAAAGCAATGTTTAAAAACACTCGGGTTAAAAACATTGACTAGGATATTTTACATAAATTAAATAGTGGAAGATTTGAATAAATGTTCTGTATAACTAAAATAGAGTTTCTTTTCTGAAGAGAACTTTGGACTTTCACCTATACCTGACACCTGGGCCATTGTTCTCTGATTAAAGGTGCAATTTTTATCTATAGGAAAGTCATAATTCAAGATCAAAAAAGGAGCCCTTTTACGATGTTTTAACAATACCCCACCCTTGTTCCCCCGCCCTCCACCACCCATCTACTCCCCAGGAATATCTTTTTTTTTCTTTTTTTTTTTTTTTGGTGAGGAGTCTCACTCTGTCACCAGGCTGGAGTGCAGTGGTGCAATCTCGGCTCACTGCAACCTCTGCCTCCCAGGTTCAAGTGATTCTCCTGCCTCAGCTTCCCGAGTAACTGGGACTACAGGCATGCGCCACCACATCCAGCTAATTTTTGTATTTTAGTAGAGACAAGGTTTCACCATGTTGGCCAGGCTGGTCTTGAACCCCCTGACCTCAGGTGATCCACCCGCCTTGGCCTCCCAAAGTGCTGGGATTACAGGCATAAGCCACCACACCTGGCCCCCAGGAATATCCTATATTAAATACAGGAGTTGATAGGCAGGCTTATCTCTCATTCCCACCCACATCCATCCCTCCTCCCCACCCTCTGATTAGCTGGAAAAATTTGGAAAGATGGAAAAGAGATTATTCCAGCACAGGGGAAGGAAGATCACTTGTCACATTGTCAGGAAAAACATACGATGCTCAGTTAAACTTGAATTTCAGATGTACAACAAGTAGTTTTTTAGTATGTCTCAAATATTGCATTATTCATTGTTTATCTGACGTTCATATTTAACTGGGTGTCCTGTACTTTTATTTGCTAAATCTGACAACCCTGTTTGGCAAATCTGGGTCACAGGGTATCAGGCCAACTGGAAAAGACAGTTAAGGAATGAAAGATAAGTTTAGATGAAAGGGAAGAGGCCAATGGAGGACGAGTTGGACTTTATTCTGTAGAAAATGGGGAACAACTGAAGGTGTCAGTTTTTTTTTTTAAGTAACATTTATTGTGGGATTTTTTTAATTGTAAAAGCAAATATGTTAATTGTGCTGCATTTGGAAAGCACAGAAAAGTATAAAAGAATATAATTACCCATAATTTCACCAACCAGCAATAACAACTATTGGCACCTTACTGTTAACTGCCTGCAAGTTGATGCCAGTTTTCACCTTCTCAAGCCTATTTTGACAGCTCTATTGAAAACTGGAACCATATCGACTGCTCTTCATACTCCCTTTCTGCTTTATTTTTTCCTCCATAATATTTATTTCCTCCTTAGAACCTTAATGTGAAAAAAAAAATTTCCTCCTAATGTATGATTCATTTGGTTAGCTGATTTACTGCCTGGCTCTCAGTGGGTGGGGCTTCTGTATACTTTATTCACTGTAATAAAAGTGCCTAGAATTATGCCTGTCACATAGTAATAAGTATCCATTGTAATGAACAAATAAGTTATCCTTCTGGTTTCTTTTCTCTGACTATATATGCTTTTGATTACTTCCTTATGTAACCATAACAGATTTGTTGCCCAACAGGCACAGAAAGTCAGTAAGCTGAAACCTGGTTGCAGCAGAGAAAGAGGTTTAATCGTAGGGCCGCCAAATGAGGACATGGAAGGGAACTTCAAATCCATCTCCCCAAATAATTTGGAGCTAGAGATTTTAAAGATTTTGGAGTTGGCCAAAGTGACTGGCTGAAGAGTGCAGGGTGAAGTCATGGGACAAGGAGATGAAGAAGCTGTATTATCAAGTTGAGAAAACAGTTCCTTTGTGGAGGTCTTAAACTAGTTGTCATCAGCTGTTCTACTAAAATTCAGGATCTGCTTAAGCAATTCTTTAAAAAAATTTTTTTAATTAATAATTTTTTTTGTAGAGATGGGATCTTGCTTTGTTGCCCAGGCTGGTCTCGAACTCCTGGCTTCAAGCAATCCTCCTGCCTTGGCTGATTCTTATGTCAGAAATCCTACCTAGAGCAACAATGGGGATATGACTGGTCAGTGTCTAGTGTTACATGACTTTTGGTTTCAAGGAAGTGAGTCAAAGTGCAGTCTGATTAAGGCTTAATTATAATTATATTTCTGTCCAGAATTATTGTTAACCCTGTGAGGATGGCTTCACTTAGGGAAAACTTTTAGACATGAAACTACTGGGCCAAACGGTCTTAGGTGCATTTTAAAATAATTTTGGTGTATATTGCCCACACACAGTCCAGAGGGGCTAAACTGGCTCACATTGCAGCTGCAGGATTGTGGAGTGCCTGCACTGAAGTTTGCAATAGAGAGAAGAGGAGATGAGCACTGCTCCATCCAGTAGGAGGTGTAAGGGTTGGGAGATCCCTTGCGAAGAGCTGGAAACTCAGAACTGGGGTTGTGGGGATGGAAGGTGGGCTCTGCGGTGATATGGGAGTTCATCTGTGTATTCTTTTGCCAGGACCTCCGTAACAAAGTACCACAGGCTGGGTGGCTCTAGCAACAGCAATTTATTTTCTCAAAGTTCTGGAGGCTGACAGTCCAAGATCAAGGTTGTTGCCTGTGAGGCCGCTCTCCTTGGCTTACAGATGGCCGTCTACTCAGTGAGTCCTCACAAGGTCTTTCCTCATGTGGAGCATCCCTGGTGCCCTTCTGTGTGTCCAAATCTCGTCTTCTTATGAAGACGCCAGTCAGATTAGACAAAGGTCTGCTCTGATGGGCTTATTTTACCTCTGAGGACTAAACTCTGACCTTTTTCCTTCTCTTGCCCAAATTTCTACCTAAGGGGCCTGGGGAGTCATGCCCTACAAACCGTAAAGTCTCATCAGAGGGGTTTTATTTAACCCTAATGTGGCCTACTTTCCAAACTGGCTCTGGCATAACATTACATAACAAATAAGGAAAGAAATCAAAATATTTTAACCCCAAATGTATTTCCTTGCCATATCTTGAAATTGCCCTGCAAAGTTGTCTCTTGTGGGGGAAAAATCTACATTCTATAGAGAATCCCCTTTTCCCTTTTTTTCAGGTCCAGGAGATAATCAAGAGTCTGGCACCCTTTTTGAGTCTAATAAAAAACATTTATAATCTATTCTCTCTGAAGCCTGCTACCTGAAGGCTTCCTCTGCACATTAAGAACTTTGTGCCGGGTGCGGTGGCTCACGCCTGTAATCCCAGCACTTTGGGAGGCCGAGGCAGACAGATCACCTGAGGTCGGGAGTTCGAGACCAGCCTGACCAACATGGAGAAATCCCATCTCTACTAAAAATACAAAAAATTAGCCAGGCGAGGTGGTGCATGCCTTAATGCCAGCTACTTGGGAGGCTGAGGCAGGAGAATGGCTGGAACCTGGGAGGCGGAGGTTGCAGTGAGTCGAGATCATGCCATTGCACTGCAGTCTGGGTGACAGAGTGAGACCTTGTCTCAAAAAAAAAAAAAAAAAAAAAGGAACTTTTCTCTTTTCTCTCCACAGTTCTTTATCTCAACCCAGAGATTTCCTTTCCATTGATCCCAGGTCTTCAGATAAACTCAACCAACTGTCAACCAGAAAATGTTTAAATCTACTTATAACCTGGAAGCTCCCTACTTTGAGTCATCCTGCCTTTCTGAACCTAACCCATGTACATCTTAAATGTACTTGATTGAAGTATCATGTCTCCCAAAAATGTATGTATGAAACCAGGCTGTGCCCTAACCACCTCAGGCACATGTTCTCAGGATCTCCTGAGGGCTGTGTCATGGGCCATGGCCACCCATATTTGGCTCAAAATACATCTCTTTGAATATTTTATAGAGTTTGACTCTTTGTCGACAATTTAATCAACTTTCAAAGGCCCTATTTCCAAATATAGTCACATTTTGAGGTTCTTGGAGTTAGGGCTTCATCATACAAGTTTGGAGCAGTGGGTGAGAGGGACACAATTCAGCCCGCGGAAATCTGCATAGAAGTGTTGAGACCATGGGAGAGACAGACATCCACCACAAACCTCCCCGCATCTGGAAGGCAGCACTCTGTACTCCTGAGTCTCTCAGGGCCAACCAGATCCTCCTCATGCCTCCTGAAATGAGATTTCAAAACTGCTTGCCATCCAAGTGACCTCCTCTCAAGGCAGTCCAGTTTGCGGTTACCTTTATTAAAATGCGCTTCCCAGAGTGAGTTACCAAGAGCTCTGTGTTAGGCTCTGGACACGGTACTTCTGTGGTACAAGAATATTACATAGTCTGATGTGTTCTGATGGGGGCATTTAGATCCTCAAACCCAAGCATATTTTTATTTCTTCTTGCCACTTTTCTCTCAACCACTTTTCTCTGATGTCATTTATTGTAGAAGCAGCATAACCATAGCAAATAACTGGGTAGCGCGGCCTAGCCAAGTTGACATATAAAATTAACCATTCCACCGGCCAATCCAATAATTTAAATAATCTGGATAACTGAGTCAAGTGAAGGCCAGGCCTTTTCAGCTTCTTCCCCCTGCCCTTGCTCCTAAGTTGGAGTCGCGGTGTTAGGAGACTGCAGTTTCTCCTGGCAGAGGGAGAGGAGTGAGACCACCATGAGGTTCTCCCATCTGCACAGGCACAGCAGCCCTTAAACTATCTCTGGATTTATGCTTCTATGTTTTAATGGGTTTCTCTAAGGAAGAAAGGGAGCTTTACATTTTGTTGGGGTTTTTAATCTCATGACTGATCCTTTGGTTGAGCAATTCAGCCCAATGTTATATTGACTGCTATATATAAACTGAACTTTGTTGCTCCATTTATTTTGATGGCCCTCCTATTTTTTTTTCTTTCTGTTTGCATGTATATATCTCTATAGAAAACTTTAAACTCATTTTTAATGGGATGATATACATGCAAACAGAAAGCAAACATTTTAATCATTCTGGTATTTTAAACAGAACTTTTTTATGGCTAAGTGCTGTGACTCATGCCTGTAATCCCAGCACTTTGGGAGGCCAAGGCGGGCTGATCACTGGAGGTCAGGAGTTCAACACCAGCCTGATCAACATGGTGAAACCCTGTCTCTACTAAAAATACAAAAATCAGCCAGGCATGGTGGCACAGCCCTGTAATCCCAGCTACTTGGGAGGCTGAGGCAGGAGAATCGCTTGAACCTGGGAGGCGGAGGTTGCAGTGAGCTGAGATTGCACCATTGCACCCCAGCCTGGGCAACCAAAGCAAAACTCTGTCTCGAAAAGAAAAGAAAAGAAAAAGAAAAAGAAAAAGAAAGAAAGAAAGAAAGAAAGAAAGGAAGGAAGAAAGAAAGGAAGGAAGGAAGGAAGGAAGGAAGGAGGAAAGAAAGAGAGAAAGAAAGAAAGAAAGAAAAAAAGAAAGAAAGGAAGAAAACCCTGTTTTTACTACCTCCTGTTTCTAATTTCTATTTTTAACTAAATAAAATCTAGCTCTCTTGTTGGGAGACTGGTTATAGGGTATCTCTGTGTAAGCTGTCCCTTGACTTCATTTCGACCCCACCGTCCCTGACTTATCTTGAAGCCTAAAAACCCTTTTGAAATCCTGTGTGCATTTTACTTTTCTTATAATATTCTTTCTAGTCACCGTTCAAATGCATTTTAAGTCATTTGCCTTGAGGCTTTTGAAAAAGATAGTGCCCATTCACACTGAAACCAGCCGCATATGAAGAGTCCCATTTTTCCACATCCTCATCAGCTCTGGACATTTTTGAAAAATTTTGCCAATCTGATGAGTACAAAGTTTATCTCATTTTTGTATTTGTATCGCATTATTTGTATTTTCCTGAGTAGTAGGAAAGGAGTTGAACTTTTTCTTAATTTTAGAATTTATTTTAGAATTCCTCTGAATTTCTATTTTTATTTCTATCCATTGTTCATTTTCAACATTTTTCCTATTTTAACTAAAATATTTTACTTTGGAAAAACTTAATATAGAAAATAATAGAAAATCATATAACAAGCACCTTATAACCACAACCTAGAATTAACAAATACAAACATTTTGCTATGTTTGCCTCAGATTTTTAAAAATTAAATATTACAGATTTAATTTTTTAAATTTTAATCTCAAAAAAATTTGAGAATCCCTCTGTCCATTTAGTTCTCTTCTTAGTTCCATTCCTCTCTCGCTCTTTCTCTCTCTCCTCCCGGAAGCAAACACTGCCATAAATTTAGTATGTATCCTTTCAGGCCTTGTGTTTAAACTTCTATCACATATATGGAAACTGCAAACTATATGAAGTGTTGTGTGTTTCTAAGTGTATATAAATCACCACATACTCATTACTGTTTTGAGACCTAGCCATATGACTACATACAGATCACTGGTTTTCCATCAGAGGTTTTGTCCCCCAGGGACATTTGGTCATGCTTGGAGACATTTTTGTTTGTCACAACTGGGGGATAGGAGTGCTACTGGAATCTAGTGGTAGAGGCCAGGGATGCTGGTAAACATCCTACAGTGCACAGGGCCACCACACACCAAAGAATTATCCAGCCTAAAATGTCAACAGTGCTATCATTGAAAAACCCTGACATAGGATTTATTTATTTATTTATTTATTTTTTTGAGACGGAGCCTCACCCTGTCGCCCAGGCTGGAGGGCAGTGGCGCGATCTCGGCTCACTGGAAGCTCCGCCTCCCAGGTTCCCGCCATTCTCCTGCCTCAGCCTCCCGAGTAGCTGGGACTACAGGCGCCGGCCACCATGCCTGGCTAATTTTTTGTATTTTTAGTGGAGACAGGGTTTCACCGGGTTAGCCAGGATGGTCTTGATCTCCTGACCTCGTGATCCGCCCGCCTCAGCCTCCCAAAGTGCTGGGATTACAGGCGGGAGCCACCGCACCCAGCCAATATTAATACTGTTACATGCATCTCTGAGTGCACATGTGCAAGGTTTTCTCTAGAGAGGCAGAATCATACAGGGTGTAAGAAGGCTCTAGAGGCTACCTGGGTTCAAGTCCCCATTCCACTATTTACTTACTGAATGACCTTTGGGGCAAATTGCTTAATCTCTCTTGATCTCCGTTGACTTGTCCTCAAAATGGGAATAATAATACTTCTCTATATAAATGAGTTAATACGCAAAATGCTTGGGACTGTGCCTGGCACATGGTAAGCATTCAAGAAATGTTAGCTTTTATTTACTGGTAGCAGTATTTTCATCATCATCATTATCATTACAGAACCTTGAAATGAAAGTACACCGTTTAAATTCTACTAAATATTTTTAAATTATTGTAATTTATACTCTCACCAGTAGGGTATAGGAGTACCTATTTCTCCATGTCCTTGGCTATATTTGATATTCCAGACTTAAACTTAAGATATAAACTGATATCTTCTTTTATTTTAATTGGCATTTTCTTTTTTCTTTTTCTTTCTTTCTTTCTTTTTTTTTTTTTTTTAAGGAAACGTCTTGCTCTGTTACCCAAGCTGGAGTGCAGTAGGGCGGCTAAAGTGCAGTGGCATGATCACGGCTCACTGCAGCCTCGATCTCGCAGGTTCATGCAATCCTCCTGCATCAGCCTTCCAAGAAGCTGGGACTATAGGTGTGTGCCACCATGCCCAGCTAACTTTTGTATTTTTTGTAGAGACAGGGTTTCACCATGTTGTCCAGGCTGCTCTTGAACTCCTATGCTCAAGAAATCTGCCTGCCTTGGCCTCACAAAGTGCTGGAATTACAGGCATGAGCCAATGAGTTGAGCGTGCATTTTCAAGATTACTGTTTTCAAGTATTTATTGGTTAATTGGTTTTATTGCTCTGCAAATGTCCATTTCATTCTCTGTCCATTTTTTGATTTACTATTTAATGTTGTAAAACATAATGTAAAAAGTACTAAAAAAGAAAAAAACTTAATGTATTTATACAATTAAAAATTCACAAAATGTAATATGTCATACAAAGAAAAGCCTCTCTTCCACCCCTGTTCCCTGGCTAGTCAGTCCCTCTCCTTAGAGACAACCATTGTTAGTTATTAAATTCTTATCCTTCCAGAAAGAACTTATTTGGATATTCAAGAAAATAAGTATTTTTTTTCTACCCAAATGGTAGCATAGTACATGCATTTTTCTGCATTATTTGTTTTTTCCTTTCTTCACATAACAACATATCTTGGCCATATTTTCCATATGTAAATAAGGAACTCCCTGATTCTTTTTTATTTCTATTCTGTTATAAAGCTGGGCTATAATTTATTTAAACATTTCCATACTGATGTACATTTAGATTGTTTTCTAATATTTTGCTAATGCAAACATTACCACAAAGTCCAAAATAAATTTATATGTGTGAGTATATCTGTAGACTAAATTCCCAGAGGTGGAATTTCTGGGATAAAGGGAATGAGCATTTGTAGTTTTGAAACATATCACATTATTTTCCTCCATAGACATTCTACCAATTCACATAGGCCCGGAAATGTGAATCCTGAGGCAGGGGAAGCTTCTGTAGCTGGAATCGTGATGCAGGGAGGCTTATGTAACATTGTGGGGCTGTCTAGTCTGACAACTGAGCTGCCTCTAGCCTTCACTGGCCTCTGATAAGGTGTCTCATCCCATTAGTCTTGGCAGGTCCCCTCCAGATCTGTGCACTCGCTGCTGCATGGCTCTGTGTCTGCTTTCTTGTGTGTGACAGCTGTCTCATGTGCATGAGGCTCTGCATCATTTCCTGTTCTATGGCTAATTTTTATAAACTCTATGCCTCAGAATTGGCTTGGAAGTCCTTTGGAACTAACACAATACCAACTATCTCAAGACCCTAGCCCTTGCAAATTGGAGGCATTTGGTTTCAGACTACTGAGCCTACTAAGAGTTTAAGATATCCATTCAAGGGCTGGGCACAGTGGCTCACGCCTGTAATCCCAGCACTTTGGGAGGCTGAGGCAGGTGGGTCATCTGAGGTCAGGAGTTCAAGACCAGCCTGGCCAACGTGGTGAAACCCCGTCTCTATTAAAAATACAAAAAATTAGCTGGATGTGGTGGCAGGTGCCTGTAATCCCAGCTACTTGGGAGGCTGAGGCAGGAGAATCACTTGAACCGGGGATTCAGAGGTTGTAGTGAACCGAGATCACGCCATTGCACTCCAGTCTGGGCAATAATAGTGAAACTCTGTCTCAAAAAAAAAAAAAAGAAAGAAGAAAGAAAAAAAATATATGTATATATATATCTCCATTCAGTCCAGTGGATGGATGACCCAGGATAACAATAATAATTCTGAGAGAGTAAAGCACCTTTGAAACACTGTAGATTCTCATTTTTTATGTCTAAATTTCCTTCCTCATGAAGCCATCAGTACCTGTTTGGTGACAGTTCTTTGAAACTCTCCAGTGGTGTTCATATGAGTATTTTCATTCTCTCTGCTGGGTTGCCCAGCTTCATTGAAATACCAATGTTCTTTTAAAATATTTGTTTATCATTTTTAAAGATTACTATTTGTTTTCATTAATGCTGAAACAAGAAAGAATAAAGAAGACTTAATGTGGAATAGGAAACCTGGAATTAAGTCTGAGATCTGTCATTTATTAGCTGGATGAGCTGGAACAATTAGTAGTGTCTCTAAACCAGGGGTTATCAATGTGTGAGCCTCCATCAGGAGCATCGACTTCTCCAGAGAATTTGCTTAAGATGTCAATCATCAGGCTCCACCAAGGACCTGTTGAAAGAGAAAGTCTCTACTGGAGTTCAGCAAATCTGAATTTTAACAAGTTTTCCAAGTGATTCTGAAGAATACTGAGTTCCTTTTTTGAGAAAGGATAAAGATAATTTCTTACAGGTGAGACTTAAATGAGGTAATATAAGCAAAATAAATCTATAAATCAGAGTCATAATGTCAAATGCCTTCAAGGGCCAAGGAGACGTGAGGTAGCAGAGCGGTGGGGAACATAGCCACCCTCTCTAAAGGCATCTACATTATCATTATTTTCTAAATCATCATGCCAGTCAAACAAAACCTGTCAAAAGTTAAATTCTGCTTCTAGGGGCCAGCAGTTTAGGAGTGTAAGTAAAACAATTTACAGATGTTAGACTGTTTTAATTTAACCCTAAAACAAACAAAAAGAAAGGTCTGGAGGTATAACATTTCTGAAAGTCTTTGGTTTACAGCAGTTGCTATAAGGGGAGCCACATAATTTATAGTCCAAACTGGACATTTCTGAAAGTGAAAGGAGGTGCTATTAATAATTACACCAGGACAAAGTGAAACCCAGGATGGTTCCAGGCAAAGCAGAGTGTATGATCACTCTGGCTATTATTATAATAGTCATCCACAAGCCCTGTTTGACCTAAGATTAAGATCAGACAAAAATTAATGGTGTACTTCTTGCTGGGGACAGACGGCTGATAATGGAGAGTGAGGAGGTGAGGGTGGAAGCTATACCAAGAGAAGGGGTAGGGAGGAAGCACCCTTTTCCTTAAGACAAGAGGCAAGGAGGGAAGGTTAGGACATGAATGTACAGAAGGGAATGTATGTAACACTGGTTGATATATTCCTAGTCATAACAAAAGCCATAGAAGGCAAGTCAGGGATCAGAGAAGCACCAAGAAGGAAGAAGAAGAACATATAGACAGAATTGGCAAAGCAAAGAATGGGCACGGAGACACCAGCATACTGGAGACATACAGAGAAAAAATCAACAGAGGACAGACTACTACAGGTGTTGTGGGGAGACAGAAGATCACCAGGGGCAAGAGCAAAGTGCAAAAACAAAGAACAACTCTTTAGAAAGGAAGTTCCTTGCCTATCCTACTGAGCTAGGGAGTGGTTGGTTGACCCTGTGACTGGAAATTCCCCAAGGTAGGTGATGATAACCTCCACATTTTCACAAAATTCTGTGAGGAGCCAAAGCACCTGAGGTAGAGAATTGCCCTTCCCCTACTTTCCAGATGCTCTACCAAGGCTTGAACTTTGCATACAAGATGCCCAAAGCATTGCAGTGAACTGGCTGTGACCTTTCAGTAGGCATCACCACCCACCCCTCCACTCCCTACTCAGAGCTGATTGGGAAATCCCCCATAAGTGGTGTTTGGTGCCCCGGTCATTCTGATCTTAGTCAACCACCATACAAACATACCTTTAGTCCAAAGTTCAGGACAACTTATTTCACTTTATAAGCAGCCTATTACACATTCAAAGTATCCATTTGTTCTCAAGAGGTAGCAAGGTAGGACTGCCCATCTGTTTTCCTCTCTTTATAATATTTTCTAGATCCTAAATTTTACGCTTTTCTATCATTTCTTTATTTTTTTCTCCCTCTTCTTTTCCTCTCTCTCTGCTCTTCTAACTAATTGGCAGAATCTCTGACCTCCACTTTCTCTGACTCCCTTCTCCCTTCCTAGAAACAGTATCCACAGTGGACTCCGGGGCTCCTACAGACTTGGCACAGCTTCCTACAGTCTTGAAACAGCCCTGTTGTTCTGTCATGGCCAGTGGGCAGTTTGTGAACAAACTGCAAGAGGAAGTGATCTGCCCCATCTGCCTGGACATTCTGCAGAAACCTGTCACCATCGACTGTGGGCACAATTTCTGCCTCAAATGCATCACTCAGATTGGGGAAACATCATGTGGATTTTTCAAATGTCCCCTCTGCAAAACTTCCGTAAGGAAGAACGCAATCAGGTTCAACTCGCTGTTGCGGAATCTGGTGGAGAAAATCCAAGCTCTACAAGCCTCTGAGGTGCAGTCCAAAAGGAAAGAGGCTACATGCCCGAGGCACCAGGAGATGTTCCACTATTTCTGCGAGGATGATGGGAAGTTCCTCTGTTTTGTGTGTCGTGAATCCAAGGACCACAAATCCCATAATGTCAGCTTGATCGAAGAAGCTGCCCAGAATTATCAGGTAGGCATTTGAGGTTTCTTCCCTGTTCCCCCATCAGCCCAGGAGTTCAGTGAGGCCCTGGAAACTGCTACCTTCCCACTGAGGGTTTGCACCCCATTGCCCCCACCCCTTGGGCTTGAGTGGGCAGCTCGCAGTCAGGCACAGTGGGTTCAAAGAGCTGAGTCTGGGGAACTGCTGACTCTCTAAATCAAGGTGCAATGGAGAATGGAAAGGATGTGAAAATTTGACTCAGAAGGTTTGGGCTCAAGCCCAGTCTTGTGAGTTTACTGTACAACCTGCAAGGAATCACTTTACCTCTCTGAGCCTCAGGTACCTCACCTTTCAAATGGCAAAAACAAAACAACTCTCTTAAAGTTGTTGGTAGGACAGATGAAGGGAAGTTTGTAGTTCTTTGATAATTCCAAAGCACCATCCATAGTCCTAGTTAGTCATAAATAACTATGTTCTGGTCATTTAGGTCACTTAGGCTCCAGATTTCTCCCTTCTCAGCAACCCCTTTCCCCGCCAGCTTGAGAAAGGCGAGTCCTTAATAATTACACAAGGACTCACCTGGAGAGTGTCACCAGCTCTCCTAAGAGACCAGGAGGATTTTATGAGGCCAGAAATCTCCAGGCACAGCCTGTCCAAACGGCCCTCTTTCCGCAGGGGCAGATTCAAGAGCAGATCCAAGTCTTGCAGCAAAAGGAGAAGGAGACAGTACAAGTGAAGGCACAAGGTGTACACAGGGTCGATGTCTTCACGGTAAGAAAAACTCCATCCCACGATCTCTGGAAGCAGAAACATCTCTGCCAAAGCTCCTGGAATCCCCTATTACACTGACCCCTCAGAAAAAGATCCAGTGAGCCATGTCCTCTCCTCGGCGCCTCAGCACCTGACCGGCCAGGCGGCATCACCTCCCGCGTCGGCCTCGCTATTACAGCGGGCTGACTGCTCAGTCTCCACCGGCAGACAAGGTGGGGCACGGAAAACCCGCGCTGGTCTTAGAATCGCAAGTACAGGTTTTTAAGGCCGAGCTGCGCCCTCAACGGATTCCCCAATTAGAAAATGAAGACATTGGCCGGGCGCGGTGGCTCACGCCAGTAATCACAGCACTCTGGGAGGCTGAGGATCGCTTGAGCCCAGGAGTTTGAGACCAGCCTGGGCAACATAGCGAGACTCTCCTCTTAATTAAAAAAAAAAAGAAAGAAAACTAGCCGGGCGTGGTAGCACACGCCTGTAGTCCCAGCTACTAGAGAGGCTGGGAGGTGAAAGTATTGTTTGAGCCTGGGAGGATGAGGCTGCAGTGAGCCGTGATCGTGCACTGCACTCCAGCCTGAGTGACAGAGTGAGAGACTGTCTCAAAAAAAAAAAAAAAAAAGACAGAAGGAAAATGAAGACATTGTGACCCCACTTACCTATTTTCCTGTGTGCGTGAAAGGAATAAAATCTATATGAAAGATTATAAACTGAAAAGCCTTCTGGAATTGTATTAGACAGTTCCTTGAAGGCAAGTGGTAAACCATAAATTAATAATTTCGCTTAAAGCTGAGCACGTAGTAGGTGCTTTTAGAAGTTTGTTCTCCTCTCCTTTCCTTTCTTCCAGGTCTGCCCTGGCACATTGCTCTGGTTGGGAATTCCACACAAACTTAATAAAATTAATGGCTGAATAAAGTGGGCTAGAAGGACCTTCGAGGCCATCCTCTCACCCTCTGCCTGTCCCTGTTTCTTAGGACCAGGTAGAACATGAGAAGCAAAGGATCCTCACAGAATTTGAACTCCTGCATCAAGTCCTAGAGGAGGAGAAGAATTTCCTGCTATCACGGATTTACTGGCTGGGTCATGAGGGAACGGAAGCGGGGAAACACTATGTTGCCTCCACTGAGCCACAGTTGAACGATCTCAAGAAGCTCGTTGATTCCCTGAAGACCAAGCAGAACATGCCACCCAGGCAGCTGCTGGAGGTGAGTCCCTTGGGGGCAGAATTGCAGAGAGGTAGCAGCCCATCCCTAGTCTCAGGTCAGAGCATGGACCACTGGCAGAATACCTGAGATTGCCCCAACCATCCTACCTCTAGCCCAGTGCTGTCCAATAGCAATATGTGAGCCGCATGTATTAGAATGAAAATGTGAGCCACATATGTAATTCATAAATATAATTCTGGCCACATGTGTGATTTAGAAATGTAGTTTCAGCCACATATGGAATTACAAATTTTTCTAGTTAGTCACATTAAAATGATAAAAGTGAAATTAATTTTAATAAAATATTTTAACTCAATATATCTGAAATATTATCCTTTCAGCCTGTAATGAATATTTTAAAAGTATTAATGAGATATTTCACATTCTGGGTTTTTGGTGGTTTTTTTTTTTTTTTTTTTACACTGAGTCTTTGAAATTGTGTGTATATTTTTCACTTTGGCACATCTCAATTCAGATGCTAAATTGTCAATTGTTAAAGTAAAATATAGTCTTACCAAATCAATAAAGTTGTGTTTAATGGAAAAAGTACTTTACCCTTCTTCTATTTATTTTATTTTATTTTTTGAGATGGAATCTTGCTCTGTTGCCCAGGCTGGAGTACAGTGGCGCGATTTTGGCGCACTACAACTTCCGCCTCCTAGGCCCAAGTCCCAAGTAGCTGGGATTACAGGTCCCCACCACCACGCCCAGCTAATTTTTGTATTCTTAGCAGACACGGGGTTTTACCATGTTGGCC
>NT_167244.2:1248612-1358035 GCF_000001405.40 Homo sapiens | reverse complement strand
GGCCAAGATTTCCATCCCCCAGTCCAAAGTGTTTTCTGCCTCTTCACACAGTTATGATACTACTAACAGCATGTTTACAATGTTGAACAGTTTATTAAATGGATTCAGATACATTATTCCATTTGCTTCTCACAACTGCTTAAATTAGGTATCGTTACATTCCCATATTCCAAATATGGTATGAATGTTCAAACTCAGGTCTTTCAACACAAAGCACATGCAAAGTTGACTTGAAAAGATAAAATCTCATAAAATATATGATAAAATGGCTATAACAAATAGTAACTTTCCACGGTATTTCCCTACACAGACGGACACACACACACGTATACATGCACACACACACACACAACTTATCTGCTATATTAGTTTCCTAGGGCTTCCATAACACATCACCATAGACTGTGTGGCTTGAAACAATGACACATTCTCTTACAGTTTTGGAAGCAAGAAGTCTGAAGTCAAGGTGTCAGCAGAGCCATGCTCTCTCCAAAGGCTCTAGGAAAAAATGCTTCATTGCCTCTTCTAGCTCCTGGTGTTTGCGGGCAATCCGTGGCATTCTTTGGCTTGTAGATGCCTCACTCCAATCTCTGACAGCATTTTCACATGGCCGTCTCCCATGTGTCTGTGTCAAAATTTCCCTCCTCTTATAATGGCCCACCCTGATCCAATATGACCTCATCTGAACTTGATGAAAAGACCCTATTTTCTTTTTCTCTCTCTCTTTCTTTCCTTCTTTCCTTCCCTCCCTCCCTCCCTCCTTCCTTCTTTCCTTGCTTCCTTCCTTCCTTCTTTCCCTCCCTTTCTCCTTTCTTTCTTTCTTTCTTTCTTTCTTTCTTTCTTTCTTTCCTTCTTTTTTGAGACAAGGTCTGGCTCTATCACCCAGGCTGCAGTGCAGTGGCATGATCTCGGCTTACTGCAACCTCCACCTCACTGGCTCAAGTGATCTTCCCACATCAGCCTCCCGAGTAGGTGGGACTACAGGCACACAGCACATGGGACTACAGGCACACAGCACCATGCCTGGCTAATTTTTGTATTTTTTGTAGAGACAGGGTTTTGCTATGTTGATCAGTCCGGTCTCCAACTCTTGAGCTCAAGCAATCTGCCCACCTTGGTCTCCCAAAGTGCTGGGATTACAGGGGTGAGCCACCTCATCTGGCCAAGACCCTATTTTTGAATAAAGCCACATACGTAGGTACCTGGGGCTAGGACTTCAATATGTCCTTGGCAGACAAAATTCAACCCACAACTCCATAATCTGTCACCCACAGGAAAGCGAGAACATAAAAAAGAAACAATGGTATTGGAAAAGAGCCAAGGGCAACACTTGGGGGATGCTAAGATGAGCAGAAGGGAAAAGAGATAGTGAGCATAGAGGGTGTACTCTCCAGGGAGGGTCAAATTTGAGTATCTGGCTTGGAAAACCAGAGAAAGGAGAAAGATGGTTTTCAAAAGCTAAAAGAGGAAAAAGCATGGCAGGAGTGGAGAAGTCATTAGGAGGGTGGAAGAGCTGCTCCCTAGGGAGGGAGAGTAAGAGCCACTCCACTCCTGGGGAAATCCAGTGAAAACTGGGGCAAGTGTCAAGAGATGGAGATCCACGGTACTGAGTCCCTTCCCCCACCAGAGTGGCCCCCTTGAGGAGCCAGGGGTCTGCAAGCTCCCAAAGCATATTCCCATAGAAACTCTGGGGTCATGAAGTCATCTTGTCCCCCTTCCCAGACCTGATCCTGCTGCCTGTTTTATACTCATTGTTGCTACCAACCCCCACACAGTCACCCAACCTAGGTGTTATCTTCAACTCTTTCTTCTTCCTCATTCTTACAGTCCTTGAGGCCCCAACCTCCTTGATGTTAGCGCCTACCACAGGACTCCACCCATCTTCCTCCTAGCACTGTCTAGATCAGCCCTCACCTGGATTATGACAGCTGCCTTTCTCATTTCCCTGCCTCCAGACTTATTCTGCCCAATCCATCTTCCATTACCCAGGCCAAAGTCTATGCTTTTCTAAAATTTTATTTTGAAAATCTTCTGACAGAAGAGTTGAATGAATTTTACAGTGACCATCCAAATATTACCACCTACATTTTCTCATTAGCATTTTACTGTACTTGCTTTATCAAATATGTTTCCGTCGACCCATTCCTTCATCCTTCTATCCATCTTATAATTTTATGCATTTTAAAGTAAGTTGCAGATATTCAAATGATTTCTAAAAATATAATCTGGTCATGTTAGAACTTGTTGGACTTTCAATAATGCCTCCCTTCTCTAAAGGATAAAGCCTGAACTCCACGTTGGCCTGCCTTCAGCCTAACCCCTGCCCCCACCTGCTTCCCATTTTTCACTCCAGAAAGGCCAAATTGCCTAAAATTCCCCACTCACCACACTGTTTACATCTCCCTGACCCGCTTTCATTGTTCCTTCTTCTTAGCTTGTCCTCAGCCTTCCAGGGCCTCAAACGCCTCCTTCCCTGAAAGCCTTTCTTGATCCCCCACTCCTCTCCGACACTGGTTTAGGCACCACATCTATAAGCACATAGCAGTCCCCAGGGCATACCTTGATCACTGCACTAATCTCCACAATCAAGACGATCTGTTTATGTGTGTTTCTCACCTCTACCCCAACTGAGAGCTTCCTAAAAATTCAGGGATCCTGCTTTATTTGTCTATTGTCCTTGGTACCTAGAACAGTCTGTGGCATGTGTGGGTGCTCCATAAATATTTGTTGAGTGAATGCATTACTGGTTTTGTCCTTTCTAAGAGCACCTCCTGCCTTTGTACCAGCTTCTCCCACACAACATGGGGCCAGGTCTTCAATGTAGATCCCAGAGAGTTAAGAAGGAAGCAAAGAACACTGAGTGTTACCCGTGTTTTCCAGCCAAAGACCCCCCAGGAACATAACTGTCATTAAACATGCTGGGTTTATTACTCCTTGCAGCAATGGAGAATGCACCCCATGGGGAGTGTGGGACATTTTAATAAGAGTGTTAGGAAAAAACCTATGATAGGGTTTGGGTTTTGGTTAGGTGATTTGGGGAAAGGTCTAAGGAAGTGGGGGTTTGCTCTGGATTAATGCTGTTAGAAAGCAGAGCAGATCCTGTGAATGAATACCCAAATAAATATTTTCTATAGGGAGGGGAGACTAGAACGAGGGGAAAGCTATAATTGGTAAAGAAGTAGCAAACATTTCTGTTAACCAAGAGAAGGGGTGTTTGGTATTTTGTGGGTGGCACAGTGTCTTTTTTTGGATCTGTGCTCAGAAAAACTTGTGAAGCAGCCTTGCATTGTCTCACTTTATCAAGGTCTAGGAGTAAACTTGTCTGAGATTGGTATTCTGTAATATAGTTTATGCCTACTAGGTGAATAACATGGTTTAGCTCTGTTAGGCCAACTTCTGAATGTCAGAGGCTGCTCTTTTTTTTTCTCTCAGTGTTTAGGTTGGGCATTGGGAAAAAAGATGAATTAGTGGGATTGGAGCATGTGTATAGATATGTGCAGAATCCAGTTCAATGCAAAAAACTTTTCTTTTTTTTTTTTCTTTTTTTTTTTTTTTTTTTGAGACAGACTCTTGCTCTGTTGCCCAGGCTGGAGGGCAGTGGTGCGATCTCGGCTCACTGCAAGCTCTGCCTCCCGGGTTCATGCCATTCTCCTGCCTCAGCCTCCACAGTAGCTGGGACTACAGGTGCCTGCCACCACGCCCGGCTAATTTTTTGTATTTTGTTTAGTAGAGATGGGGTTTCACCATAGCCAGTTGGTCCGATCTCCTGACCTCGTGATCCACCTGCCTCGGCCTCCCAAAGTGCTGAGATTACAGGCTTGAGCCAACGCTTCCGGCCACAAAATTTTTCAAATAGAGGAAGTCTGGAGTTTATTTCCAAGGTGTCCACCTCCCCAATCCAGGCATATATTTCCAGGTCACAGTGCTGACACTTTCAGCCTCCCGCAGTCACACACCCCATGGTCATGGAAAGGGACACATGGCCCAGGTCCCTGGTGGCTCTGAGTTGTGGGGAGGGAGGAGCCAGTGGCTTTGGCTCTACCCGGACATCCCTTGTTCTCCCAGGGCAAACACTCTGAAGCTTGTTTTCTTGGCTGACTGTTTTTGTTTGTCATCCTGCCTGGTATCACAGCCTCCCAGTAACTCCCAAACCTACTCATCTGAGCCCTGAGGAAAACCTATTAGATATGAATTCTTTGTTGGTTTTGTGACAGTGTCCTCTGACCAGACGGGTTCAGCTGCCTGGACCCCAAGGGCCTTGTTGTCTCTGCTCCCTGCCTTCTGGGGTAATGATCTCACCCTTGCCCCCAGTTTCAAGGATCCAGTGACTCACTGCAGAGTAAATCAACAGCATGGCAGATGCCTGGCATCTGAGGTCTCTGATACTCTCTAAGGATATGGGGCTGTGATCTTTTTTCCTTCAGTCTGGTGCTTCTGTCTGACTGTTAGTGATTCCCCTTTCCTGATAAAGGCTTTAATATTTCCTTCAAATCAGACAGCCCTGAAGTTGCTGCCTCCTGCCTTCATTATTCCTTTCTGCACAAGGCTGAATTGATTCTGTTCTGAAATTTTCCTCATCCCTGCCCTCCACACACATACTCACCAATGCATGACTTGCTTTTTCACAGCCTCTTGTCTTGTGCTTCTCTACCTTTTGGTTCAAATCTTCTTCTTCTTCTTCTTTTTTTTTTTATGAAGTTTTTATGAAGCCTTGCTCTGTCACCCAGGCTGGAGTGCAGTGGCACATCTCAGCTCACTGCAACCTCAGCCTCCCGGGTTCAAGGGCTTCTCTTGCCTCAGTCTCTTAGGTAGCTGGGATTACAGGTGCCCACCACCACACCCAGCTAATTTTTTGTACTTTTAGTAGAGATGGGGTTTTGCCATGTTGGTCTGGCTGGTCTCGAACTCCTGACCTTGGGTGATCCGCCCACCTTGGCCTCCCAAAATGCTAGGATTACAGGTGTGAGCCACCGTGCAAGCCGAAAGTCTTCTTTAGCTATGATCTTCCTGAATCCTAGTTTGATTTGATCCTTCAGGACATGTTTGTATTTACATATTTGTGTTTTATACACATAGAAATGTGTGTGTGTGTGTGTGTGTGTGTGTGTGTGTGTGTGTATTTGAAATAGCTATAAACCAGGGACAGTGGGAATAGTGAGGATATGTGTTTGTGGGATCAAGTGAGGTTGTGGTTACAAGAAAAAGCTATATCTTTGATAACAGCAAATCAATAATAGATAATGCCTAAAATTAGAAGAGCAAATAGTAATAATATAATCCTTGTATTTACAGATGTGAAGGTGAACACCAAAACAGCTAAAAGAGTTGAAAGTAGTGGAGATGGGGGTGAGGGCTGCCATTTAAAAAAATTAACTCATCAACTTGTTTAACTTTTTATTTGCATATATAACTGCGATGAAAATCCTGAAAATAATCTAATTGTGTTCTGTGTTCCTTTTTTTTCCCCCTACCAGCCATGTGAAGATCTGTCACCCACTCATTTCCTCAGCCCAGTTTCTCACCCTTGCTTCCTCTCCCCCGACTCTGTTTCCAGGGGCCAGGCTTGTCCACCCCTCGGGATCTCTCCTACCTGACTGCTCTCCTCCTGCCTCCAATCTATCCACCTGCAGACAGAACAATCTCTACAACCTGTGTCACCAGAGTGTGTTTCACTTCCACTTGAAAATTCTCTGAGACTTGCCTAGTGTAACAGGATTGAGTTATGCCCTCAGTATGACAAGCTCCATGTCCCTCTCAGTGCCAGCCCTAGGCACGCAGCCTGCACCAGGCTCAGACATACCTCCTTCTCTTGGCTGCCCTGGCTCTGTACTCCCTCTGACCAAAACCCTTCCCCTGTATGTGTTTCTTTACTATGGGTCATAATTTATAGTACATAATGTTCTGCACTGACTTTTTCTTTTAACCACGATCTTATAGATCTTCTCATGTCAACCCAAATAGGTCATCTTCACTATTTTTCACTGTTACATGAATTCAATTACATAATGTATATAAAAACATTTTGCATGCCATCTGGCATATAGGAAGACTCAAATATATCCTTATCTCATTTAAGTTTCCATCACCGCAACATAATGAAGAAACACCCTTTGTCTCCTTTAACACTGTAGTTGTAAGATTCCTCCTCAACTCTTATTACAGCTATGCATTGTGCCTTTTAAAAACATTTAGTATTTTTTTTCATTGAGACAAATCTTGCTATGTTGCCCAGGCTGGTCTCTCACTCCTGGGCTAAGTGATCCTCCTGCCTCACCCTCCCAAAGTGCTGGGATTATAGGCATGAGCCACTGTGCCTTGCCCTATGCAATGGTTTTAAACAGATCACGAATTTAATTAATATCACTATTCTCCCCATTATTTCTTTAGCTTTTCCATCCAGCTCCCTACACATCCCTCTTTTGTGGATCTCAACTCCTTGGAGCTCTCCCACACACTCTGCTTGCTTGCTTTTCCCTGAAATGCCCTCTGCTATCCCCTTCCACCATCCACTGGGGAAGTGGTTCCCTTCTTCCCAGACATCCGCTGTAAAAGCTTCCCTAAGCTGCCCTCTCCCAGAGGAGCCCTCAGCCTATGGGCAGCCCCGCCCCCTACCTGGTTTGCACCACTGATATCACTCCTTAACCAGAAGGTCAATCTTTTGAAAGCAGGTTGTCTTAGTATCTTCAGTGCTTAGCATATTGCCTGGCACATAAAAAGTGCCCCATAAGTGTTTGCTGGATGAGAATCCTCAACTTTTAAATGTCTAATCTCATTTTTCTATGTAATATGCCACACACAGAAGAGGTGCTCTGTGGTATAGAGGAGAATGTACCTTCTTATTAGCTGTGTGATCTTGGACAACTCACATCACCTCTCTGAGCCTCAGTTTCTTGATCCGTAAAATGGGGGTAATGAGATCTATGATGAATGAATGATGAAATAAAATATAAGAAGATGTTCTAAAAATGTAAAAAGTATTACCATCACTCCTTCTTCAACCTCATTTCAAACTTTCCATAGTTCTGACAAAATCCTCTCCCCAGGTCCAGCCCGTTCTGTAAGATCATGTCTCTCCCCCGGACTCCTGATCCTCATTCCTTTCTTTTTCTTTTTCTTTCTTTCTTTCTTTCTTTCTTCTTTTTTTTTTTTTTTGAGATGCAGTTTTGCTCTTGTTGCCCAGGCTGGAGTGCAATGGCGCATCGGCTCACCACAACCTCCGCCTCCCGGGTTCAAGCGATTCTCCTGCCTCAGCCTCACTGAGTAGCTGGGATTACAGACATGCACCACCATACCCAGCTAATTTTGTATTTTTAGTAGAGACAGGGTTTCTCCATGTTGGTCAGGCTGGTCTTGAACTCCCGACCTCAGGTGGTTCGCCTGCCTCGGCCTCCCAAAGTGCTGGGATTACAGGTATGAGCCACCGTGCCCGGCAACCTCATTCCTTTCTGGTGCTGTTGTTTCGCCCTCTCATTCCCTTCTTCTAACTTGGTAGGCTTTGTTCTTGCCTAATTCCTCTTCAGTGTTCACTTTTCTGTAGCCTTTGCCTTTCTCCTTTCAGCATAGCTCTGTCCTCACAGCTTCCTGGAAGCCATCCCAAGAACTCTTATAGGTTCCTTTCCCTCTGCTTCCTTGAAGCTCCTCCCTGCTCCTCCTGCCACATACACCACCCAGGGGGCAGGGGAGCCTCACATGGGTGTGGATAACTCTACCAAGCGCTGGTTTCAAGGACGCTTGCAAAGGTGGCCAGAAATGGCAGATAAAAGGGCACGAGATGCCATGCCATGTTCTGCGCAGGGAGGGGCTGGATGAGGGGAACCAGAGAGTCCAAGGCAGGTCCCAGGGCAAGTTTTCCTTCCAGAGATTCAGGGCAGGCAGGACAGAGCTGGAGGGGTGTGTTTGGGAGACAGGGGAGGTAACATCTGAGGCTCAGGAGGCAGTCAGAGGGAGTGGCTCCTGAACTAATTGGCAGGCTGGATGCCAGCAGCGTGCCAGTGATGTTTTAGCTACTGGTCACCAGAGGAGAGGAAGGAAGGGAGGGAGGGAGAGTCTATCATGTGGACCAAGACACAGAGGCACATGGGGCCTGTTGTCGGCTGGCTCTCAGTTCATCAGGCTTTTCTAGGTCACTCTGCGTTGCCACCTCCCTTGCTGGGTTTCCCTGCTCTGCCTCGTGCTGCCTTGCATGCCCCTGGCTTGGTTTCTCTGACTCATAGTCCACGACCCGGACACTCTCTTCAAGTCTCTGTGCTCCTGGGAGTTGGTGTTCTAATACTGTTGGGGAGGAAGCACTTGAGTCCCAGCATGCAGGCTTTGACCTTTATCCTGCATGGCCCCCAGTTTCCTCCCTGTGACTGGAATGTGACACAGGCTCCTGGAGTAGTTAAGAAAGTAGTAAAATCTTTAATGATTTGAAAATTATAAAATTATAAAATTATTACTGTGTTAAAATGAACTATCCTTGTTCTTTTTGTTTCTCCACCACTCCTAATGTCAGATATGCTTACATCGGGCTGCACAGTTCACAGCACTGTTGGATGGCCCACAGGCCTCCTGGCTTCACATGTCCAACATGCCACCCCTGATATTCCTGCCCAGGCCAGCTCCTCACAGTTCTTCCCACTGCAGTCACTGGCAGCTCCATCCTCCCCATGGTGGGGCCAAATTCGTTAGAGCTTCCTGCCTCCTCCTTTGCTCTCACACTCCACAACCAATGCAGTAACTCACGTCCAGAAGTCAGCCCCTTCCCACCAACTCCAACCCCTGGTAGGCTCACCTCACCCAGTACTGAATGAAGTCCTGACAATGACAAAGCCCTGCACAGTCGGCCAGTCCCATCTCTGACTTCCTACTCCACACCCGCTGCTCCCTCTGCTCCAGCCACATGGCCTCATGTTAAATCTCAAACACATCAGCAGCTTCAGCATCACAGCCTTTGCCTCTGCCTTTCCTTTCATCTGGATGATCCTTCCTTCAGATAAGCACTTGACGACTTCTCTTACCACCTTCAAATCTTTGCTCAAATAGAATCTATTGAGATTGTAACTCTATCTACTCCATCCAGCACTCCATCCAGCATTGAGAAGGCCCATCTCTCTAGGTGATATTTAAGGGCAGACCTGAGAGATGAATAAGAGATCATCATGCTCAGAGAGGAGAGAAGGGCATCCCAGGCACAGGTAACAGCTTTGCATCAACCTAGAGGCAAGAACAATTTGGGCTAATTTAAGCAAAGTTGACGCATGATGAGTTGGGAGTAAAGATGGCACAAGATAATAATGAAGACTTAGAGATTAGAGCAAGCAAAAACTTAGGTTTTAGTAGTGGAATAGGCAAGAGTGCAATGGGGGAAGATCCGAGGCCACTACTTGCTAATGGCATTCCCCAGAGTTGTATAAGGCAGTCATCCCAAAGAGAGAAAACTATGCTAGCATTTGTGTCTTTCTTCCCAGCTTTATGTTGCTTCGTGGTACCTACCATACATTACACTTATTTATTTGTTAATGAGCTGTTCTCCCCGCTAGAGTTTAGAATTCCCATGAGGCCAGGTTCCTGTCTGTGTTGATCTCCACTGAGTCCCTAGCTTTCAACACTGTATCTGCACATAGTAGGTCCTTAATAAGTACTTTTGAACGAATAAGTATAAATTACTTTTATCATCCCTAAAACAAATTTTTTGATATAATTGTTTTCACTTTATAGTCACAAAACTAACAAGAGTCAAGTCAAATCTTGACACCCTACTGTTTCTAAGTGGTGTCAATGTTCCTTCATACTGTATAATTTCTTATCTGGTTTAGTCAAAATGGGCAAAGGCTTCAGTTTTTTCAATTTTAAAATGAGGAGTTTGGACTAATGGATTGCCCATTTGCTGGAGGATGATACCTGCTCCTTCCTCCAGGGCCTCCCCTGCTGCTCCAGTCCAAGTTCTTTTCCCTCTTCCAGCCTCCCCTCTTCCTGGGGTCTGGACAACAGAGGTTAAATGGTTTAAAGGCCCACTGGGAGACTGTGAATCACAGAAGCACAGGAATCCTTTCCATTTCTAGCTGCCTACACTCCATCTATCTCACTGGCTGAGGCTTCGATTCTGTCAAGGAAATAGGATGACTACAGAACAGAAAGAAAGGACAGAGAATAAAAAGGAGAAAATGATGAAGGGGAGGGCAGGGAGGAAGGAGAGAAGGACAGAGCAAACAGGTCTCGTGCATGTTAGTGAATATTCTGCAGAGAGGAGAAGCAGTTATTGTGGACTGTGGTCCAACTGAAACAAAATATCTCATCACTTTGTCTTTACCCCCTCTCTTGTGATCCCATCTCAACATCCAAAGCTCATTAAGTATGTAGCCCATTTCTGTAACAGCCTTGCAATTACACAGTCATCCATTCCAGAAATTAGAAATTCATGATTGATTTTCCCCTCCCTCATCACCCAAAGGCCACTTCAATGTTTTTGTCAATTCTATCTACAAAATACACTTCAAATTGGCCTGCTCATTTTCAGCTCCACTGGATCCCACTATCTCAAGCCATCATCCTTTCTCACCTAAATTACTGGCATAGTTTTCTCTCTTTGGGATGACTGCCGTATACAACTCTGGGAATGCCATTAGCAGGTAGTGACCCTGGGTCTCCCCCATTCCACTCTTGTTTATTCCACTACTAAAACTTAAGATTTCACTTGCTCTAGTCTCTGCCTACGTCTTCATTATTATCTTGTGCCATCTTTACTCCTAACTCATCATGTGTCAACTTTGCTTAAATTAGCCCAAATTGTTCTTGCCTCTAGGCTGTTGCAAAGCTGTTACCTGTGCCTGCAATGCCCTTCTCTCCTCTTTGAGCATGATGATCTCTTATTCATCTCTCAGGTCTCCCCTTAAATATCACCTTGGAAGATGGGCCTTCCTCAATGTCCCCCATCTAAATTAAGGACTTCTGCTCTCAGTCTCTGTGCTGGAGATTTGTCAAAATGTCAGATTTATCAAATAAAAGTACAGGATGTCCATTTAAATCTGAATTTTAGATAAATAATAAACAAGTATTTTGTGTAAGTATGCCCCATGCAGTATTTGGGAGATACTTATACTAAAAAATCATTGTTTATCTGAAATTCAAATTTAACTGGATGTTCTGCATTTTATCTGCCAAACCTACATATATGGAATGACCTCATTTCCTTTCTATTGAAGAGATTGAAAAGTAAAAAACTCTATTTCTCAGAATTTTTGGAGCTAGGATTCTGGACATGAAATAAGTCCTTCCAACTAAATGTATTTCTATGAGATTTGAAATGCAGAAGTGAGGTAGAGGCTATTTTCCTATAGAAGAGCATGGATGAGCCCCAATAAACATGAAATGTGCATGGGGGTAGGGCAGCTGGGCCCGTGGCTGCTATGCTAGCAGTAGCTGCAGCACTACTGACCTATGGTGATTGACCTTGAAGCCAATAAACCAGTTAGGACATCCTGACTTTTTTTTTTTTTTTTTTTTTTTTTTTTTTTTTTTTTTTGAGACGGAGTCTCGCTCTGTCGCCAGGCTGGAGTGCAGTGGAGTGATCTTGCTCACTGCAACCTCTGCCTCCTGAGTTCAAGCAATTCTCCTGCCTCAGCCTCCTAAGTAGCTGTGACTACATCATGTGCCACCATGCCCAGCTAACTTTTGTATTTTTAGTAGAGACGGGGTTTCACCATGTTGGCCAGGATGGTCTCGATCTCTTGACCTTGTGATCTGCCCAACTCAGCCTCCCAAAGTGTTGGGATTACAGGCATGAGCCACCGTGCCCAGCCAATATTTTTTTTTCTTAATTGAAACAGGCGCCTAAAAGACAGGAAGGAACCTGCTCCTGCATTCTTGACAGATGAGGATCCGAAAGTTTTCCCTACTTACACACCAGCAAGATCATCTCTCTGGGAATCAATTTTCTTATCCATATTGTAAGGGCTAGACTACACATTGTTAATGTTCCCTACAACTCTAGCATTCTACAAATCTATGATTCTTTGAAGTCTTTAATAGAGGTGGGAGCCAGAATCAAATTAGCTATATTTGGTGCACTTACTAGCGATCCTTGTACAGGTTAATAAATAACTTGTTTGGAAGACCTATTCTCCCCGATGGGGAAGTGGACATGGAAATGAGATGATCGTCTTGAATGTAAATAATGTGAAGGGGAATAGGAATTAGAAAAAGAAAACTGAGAGAAAAGACTACTAGGACAAAATGAGCTTCAAAATACATAAATCATGCTGAGTGTGGTAGCTTATGCCTATAATCTCAGCTCTTTGGGAGATGAGGCCAAAGTGGGAGGATTGATTGAAGCCAGGAGCTTGAGATCAGCCTGGGCAACACAGCCAGATCCCATCTCTACAATCAATCAATCAATCAATCAATCCATTAGACCACGTAAATATCACACTTACAGCTACTCAGTGGCATTCCACTGCTCTTAGAACAACGATCAACTCCTTATCCTGGTCCCTAAGGTCCTACACAGCTTGGCTCTTAGTACCTCTCCAATCTCACATCAAACCATTGTCATCCCACTTCATACGTTCAAGATCTTTCCCACTTCAGGGTCTTTGCATCTGCTGTTGTTGCTCTCTCCCAACTCTTCTCATTGCTGGCTCCCTCTCTTCACCTTCTCAGAGGAGCTTTTTCTAACATCCTATTAAAAGTAGTGCACACCTCCTCCAGTTAATTCCTCTTATATTACCCACTTTGTATTCTTCAAAGCACTGATCACAATCTATAATTATCTTGTTAATTTATTTGTTTACTTGCTTATTGTTGGCCTTTTTCAATGGAATCTAAATTACCAGAGGACAAGGGACTATGGCTGGCTTGCTCTCCACTCTTCCTAACTCCTAGAACAACGCATGGTACATAGTAGGTGCTTAGTAAATAGTTGTTGAATGATTAAATGAATGGATGAATGAATGCACAGCTCTTAAAAGGAAACTGCTGGCCAGGTGCGGTGGCTCACACCTGTAATCCTAGCACTTTGGTAGGCTGAAGCAGGCAGATCACCTGAGGTAAGGAGTTCAAGACCAGCCTGGCAAACATGACAAAACCCCATCTCTACTAAAAATACAAAAATTAGCTGGGTGTGGTGGCATGTGCCTGTAGTCCCAGCTACTTGGGAGGCTAAGCTAGGAGAATCGCTTGAACCCAGGAGGCAGAGGTTGTAGTGAACTGAGCTCATGCCACTGCACTCCAGCCTGGTGACAGAGCGAGACTCTGTCACAAACAAACAAACAAACAAAAAAAAAATGGAAACTGCTAAGGGCTTGGAGAACAAGAAGGCCTTGAGAAAACTGAGAAGATGGGGGGAGGAGCCAAGATGGCCAAATAGGAACAGCTCCGGTCTACAGCTCCCAGCGTGAGCAACGCAGAAGACAGGTGATTTCTGCATTTCCATCTGAGGTTCATCTCACTAGGGAGTGCCAGACAGTGGGCACAGGTCAGTGGGTGCGCGCACCGTGCGTGAGCCGAAGCAGGGCGAGGCATTGCCTCACTCAGGAAGCACAAGGGGTCAGGGAGTTCCCTTTCCTAGTCAAAGAAAGGGGTGACAGAGGGCACCTGGAAAATCGGGTCACTCTCACCCGAATACTGCGCTTTTCCGACGGGCTTAAAAAACGGCGCACCAGGAGATTATATCCCGCACTTGGCTCAGAGGGTCCTACGCCCACAGAGTCTCGCTGATTGCTAGCACAGCAGTCTGAGATCAAACTGCAAGGTGGCAGCGAGGCTGGAGGAGGGGCGCCCGCCATTGCCCAGGCTTGCTGAGGTAAACAAAACAGCCGGGAAGCTCGAACTGGGTGGAGCCCACCACAGCTCAAGGAGGCCTGCCTGCCTCTGTAGGCTCCACCTCTGGGGGCAGGGCACAGACAAACAAAAAGACAGCAGTAACCTCTGCAGACTGAAATGTCCCTGTCTGACAGCTTTGAAGAGAGCAGTGGTTCTCCCAGCACGCAGCTGGAGATCTGAGAACGGGCAGACTGCCTCCTCAAGTGGGTCCCTGACCCCTGACCCCCGAGCAGCCTAACTGGGAGGCACCCCCCAGCAGGGGCAGACTGACACTTCACACGGCCGGGTACTCTAACAGACCTGCAGCTGAGGGTCCTGTCTGTTAGAAGGAAAACTAACAAACAGAAAGGACATCCACACAAAAAACCCATCTGTACATCACCATCGTCAAAGACCAAAAGTAGATAAAACCACAAAGATGGGGAAAAAACAGAGCAGAAAAACTGGAAACTCTAAAAAGCAGAGCTCCTCTCCTCCTCCAAAGGAATGCAGTTCCTCACCAGGAATGGAACAAAGCTGGACGGAGAATGACTTTGACGAGCTGAGAGAAGAAGGCTTCAGACGATCAAATTACTCCGAACTATGGGAGGACATTCAAACCAAAGGCAAAGAAGTTGAAAACTTTGAAAAGAATTTAGAAGAATGAATAACTAGAATAACCAATACAGAGAAGTGCTTAAAGGAGCTGATGGAGCTGAAAACCAAGGCTCGAGAACTACGTGAAGAATGTAGAAGCCTCAGGAGCTGATGCGATCAACTAGAAGAAAGGGTATCAGCGATGGAAGATGAAATGAATGAAATGAAGCGAGAAGGGAAGTTTAGAGAAAAAGGAATAAAAAGAAACGAGCAAAGCCTCCAAGAAATATGGGACTATGTGAAAAGACCAAATCTACATCTGATTGGTGTACCTGAAAGTGACGGGGAGAATGGAACCAAGTTGGAAAACACTCTGCAGGATATTATCCAGGAGAACTTCCCTAATCTAGCAAGGCAGGCCAACGTTCAGATTCAGGAAATACAGAGAACGCCACAAAGATACTCCTCGAGAAGAGCAACTCCAAGACACGTAATTGTCAGATTCACCAAAGTTGAAATGAAGGAAAAAATGTTAAGAACAGCCAGAGAGAAAGGTCGGGTTACCCTCAAAGGGAAGCCCATCAGACTAACAGCGGATCTCTCGGCAGAAACTCTACAAGCCAGAAGAGAGTGGGGGTCAATATTCAACATTCTTAAAAAAAAGAATTTTCAACCCAGAATTTCATATCCAGCCAAACTAAGCTTCATAAGTGAAGGAGAAATAAAATCCTTTACAGACAAGCAAATGCTGAGAGATTTTGTCACCACCAGGCCTGCCCTAAAAGAGCTCCTGAAGGAAGCACTAAACATGGAAAGGAACAACCAGTACCAGCTGCTGCAAAATCATGCCAAAATGTAAAGACCATTGAGACTAGGAAGAAACTGCATCAACTAATGAGCAAAATAACCAGCTAACATCATAATGACAGGATCAAATTCACACATAACAATATTAACTTTAAATGTAAATGGACTAAATGCTCCAATTAAAAGACACAGACTGGCAAATTGGATAAAGAGTCAAGACCCATCAGTGTGCTGTATTCAGGAAACCCATTTCACGTGCAGAGACACACATAGGCTCAAAATAAAAGGATGGAGGAAGATCTACCAAGCAAATGGAAAACAAAAAAAGGCAGGGGTTGCAATCCTAGTCTCTGATAAAACAGACTTTAAACCAACAAAGATCAAAAGAGACAAAGAAGGCCATTACATAATGGTAAAGGGATCAATTCAACAAGAAGAGCTAACTATCCCAAATATATATGCACCCAATACAGGAGCACCCAGATTCATAAAGCAAGTCCTGAGTGACCTACAAAGAGACTTAGATTCCCATGCATTAATAATGGGAGACTTTAACACCCCACTGTCAACATTAGACAGATCAACAAGACAGAAAGTTAACAAGGATACCCAGGAATTGAACTCAGCTCTGCACCAAGCAGACCTAATAGACATCTACAGAACTCTCCACCCCAAATCAACAGAATATACATTTTTTTCAGCACCACACCACACCTATTCCAAAATTGACCACATACTTGAAAGTAAAGCTCTCCTCAGCAAATGTAAAAGAACAGAAATTATAACAAACTATCTCTCAGACCACAGTTCAATCAAACTAGAACTCAGGATTAAGAATCTCACTCAAAACCGCTCAACTACATGGAAACTGAACAACCTGCTCCTGAATGACTACTGGGTACATAACGAAATGAAGGCAGAAATAAAGATGTTCTTTGAAACCAACGAGAACAAAGACACAACATACTAGAATCTCTGGGACGCATTCAAAGCAGTGTGTAGAGGGAAATTTATAGCACTAAATGCCCACAAGAGAAAGCAGGAAAGATCTAAAATTGACACCCTATAATCACAATTAAAAGAACTAGAAAAGCAAGAGCAAACACATTCAAAAGCTAGCAGAAGGCAAGAAATAACTAAAATCAGAGCAGAATTGAAGGAAATAGAGACACAAAAAAACCCTCCAAAAAATTAATGAATCCAGGAGCTGGTTTTTTGAAAGGATCAACAAAATTGATAAACCGCTAGCAAGACTAATAAAGAAAAAAGAGAGAAGAATCAAATAGACACAATAAAAAATGATAAAGGGGATATCATCACCGATCCCACAGAAACAGAAACTACCATCAGAGAATACTACAAACACCTCTATGCAAATAAACTAGAAAATCTAGAAGAAATGGATAAATTCCTTGACACATACACTCTCCCAAGACTAAACCAGGAAGAAGCTGAATCTCTGAATAGACCAATAACAGGATCTGAAATTGTGGCAATAATCAATAGCTTACCAACCAAAAAGAGTCCAGGACCAGATGGATTCACAGCCGAATTCTACCAGAGGTACAAGGAGGAACTGGTACCATTCCTTCTGAAACTATTCCAATCAATAGAAAAAGAGGGAATCTTCCCTAACTCATTTTATGAGGCCAGCATCATCCTGATACCAAAGCTGGGCAGAGACACAACCAAAAAAGAGAATTTTAGACCAATATCCTTGATGAACATTGATGCAAAAATCCTCAATAAAATACTGGCAAACCAAATCCAGCAGCACATCAAAAAGCTTATCCACCATGATCAAGTGGGCTTCATCCCTGGGATGCAAGGCTGGTTCAATATACACAAATCAATAAATGTAATCCAGCATATAAACAGAATCAAAGACAAAAACCACATGATTATCTCAATAGATGCAGAAAAGGCCTTTGACAAAATTCAACAATGCTTCATGCTAAAAACTCTCAATAAATTAGGTATTGATGGGATGTATTTCAAAATAATAAGAGCTATCTATGACAAACCCACAGCCAATATCATACTGAATGGGCAAAAACTGGAAGCATTCCCTTTGAAAACTGGCACAAGACAGGGATGCCCTCTCTCACCACTCCTATTCAACATAGTGTTGGAAGGTCTGGCCAGGGCAATTAGTCAGGAGAAGGAAATAAAGGGTATTCAATTAGGAAAAGAGGAAGTCAAATTGTTCCTGTTTGCAGACGACATGATTGTATATCTAGAAAACCCCACTGTCTCAGCCCAAAATCTCCTTAAGCTGATAAGCAACTTCAGCAAAGTCTCAGGATACAAAATCAATGTACAAAAGTCACAAGCATTCTTATACACCAACAACAGACAAACACAGAGCCAAATCATGAGTGAACTCCCATTCACAATTGCTTCAAAGAGAATAAAATACCTAGGAATCCAACTTATAAGGGATGTGAAGGACCTCTTCAAGGAGAACTACAAACCACTGCTCAAGGAAATAAAAGAGGATACAAACAAATGGAAGAACATTCCATGCTCATGGGTAGGAAGAATCAATATCGTGAAAATGGCCATACTGCCGAAGGTAATTTACAGATTCAATGCTATCCCCATCAAGCTACCAATGACTTTCTTCACAGAATTGGAAAAAACTACTTTAAAGTTCATATGGGACCAAAAAAGAGCCCGCATCGTCAAGTCTATCCTAAGCCAAAAGAACAAAGCTGGAGGCATCACGTTACCTGACTTCAAACTATACTACAAGGCTACAGTAACCAAAACAGCATGGTACTGGTGCCAAAACAGAGATATAGATCAATGGAACAGAACAGAGCCCTCAGAAATAAGGCCGCATATCTACAAGTATCTGATCTTTGACAAACCTGAGAAAAACAAGCAATGGGGAAAGGATTCCCTATTTAATAAATGGTGCTGGGAAAACTGGCTAGCCATATGTAGAAAGCTGAAACTGGATCCCTTCCTTACACCTTATACAAAAATTAATTCAAGATGGATTAAAGACTTAAATGTTAGACCTAAAACCATAAAAACCCTAGAAGAAAACCTAGGCATTACCATTCAGGACATAGGCATGGGCAAGGACTTCATGTCTAAAACACCAAAAGCAATGGCAACAAAAGCCAAAATTGGCAAATGGGATCTAATTAAACTAAAGAGCTTCTGCACAGCAAAAGAAACTACCATCAGAGTGAATAGGCAACCTACAAAATGGGAGAAAATTTTCGCAACCTACTCATCTGACAAAGGGCTAATATCCAGAATCTACAATGAACTCAAACAAATTTACAAGAAAAAAACAAACAACCCCATCAAAAAATGGGCGAAGGACATGAACAGACACTTCTCAAAAGAAGACATTTATGCAGCCAAAAAACACATGAAAAAATGCTCACCATCACTGGCCATCAGAGAAATGCAAATCAAAACCACAATGAGATACCATCTCACACCAGTTAGAATGGCAATCATTAAAAAGTCAGGAAACAACAGGTGCTGGAGAGGATGTGGAGAAATAGGAACACTTTTACACTGTTGGTGGGACTGTAAACTAGTTCAACCATTGTGGAAGTCAGTGTGGCGATTCCTCAGGGATCTAGAACTAGAAATACCATTTGACCCAGCCATCCCATTACTGGTTATATACCCAGAGGACTATAAATCATGCTGCTATAAAGACACATGCACACGTATGTTTATTGTGGCATTATTCACAATAGCAAAGACTTGGAACCAACCCAAATGTCCAACAATGATAGACTGGATTAAGAAAATGTGGCACATATACACCATGGAATACTATGCAGTCATAAAAAATGATGAGTTCATGTCCTTTGTAGGGACATGAATGAAATTGGAAATCATCATTCTCAGTAAACTATCGCAAGAACAAAAAACCAAACACCGCATATTCTCACTCATAGGTGGGAATTGAACAATGAGAACACGTGGACACAGGAAGGGGAACATCACACTCTGGGGACTGTTGTGGGGTGAGGGCAGGGGGGAGGGATAGCATTGGGAGGTATACCTAATGCTAGATGACGAGTTGGTGGGTGCAGCGCACCAGCATGGCACGTGTATACATATGTAACTAACCTGCACATTGTGCACATGTACCCTAAAACTTAAAGTATAATAATAATAAATAAATAAATAAATAAGAAAACTGAGAAGACAAATAGTGAACATTTAGGGGAGAATTTAAATGATGGATAGAAATATTAGTGACATTGATAGGTGGGTTGTTGGAAGGAAAGAGAATAAGTGAGCACCTACATGAACTTGAAGGATGGGCAACATTTCAGAGAAACTGTTAGCCCTAAGCAGGGATTTAAAGGGAGAGAAAGGAAGGAGCCTTCCAGGAGGGACAGAAAAGAGAAAGTAAAGTCTCAAAAGAAAGAAATTAATATTTAAGGAAAAGAATATAGACTTTGGAGCCAGCAGGTTTGAATTTCAGTCCTGGCTCTGCCTCCTGCCGGCTGTTTGAGCCTAGTCAAATCCCTTACCATGCCAGAATCCCAGGGGCCTCAGTGTAACATGGCTGGACTTGGCCTCACGGCTGTTATAGGGTTAAATGAGAGAATGGACTATGAAGGTGACATTTCTATAACATAGTCATGTATTTGAGTATCAAGATTGATTGGATTAATCTGGCTGGATATTCTTCCTCTATCCCTGCCTCAAGCCACCCCTCCTAAAACTGCCTCCCCCATCAGGGCAAGTTTTACTCAGAGTCCTTGGAGTAGTTGCATAGGAAAACTGCTCTGGTCTAATAGAATTTCCAGCTATGTTAAAGCACAGTGTAAACATCCAAGTCCTTAAAAAAATGAGTCATTATAGAAACAATCAAGATTGAAGAAAATCTTTGGGAAGGGCATAGTGAGTGGGAATTGAGAAAGAATTATGGTCTCCTTCATTTTGATTTCTTACCTCCTAGCCCTTCTTTTCCCAATCCAGTTTTCTCCCCAGAGATGCTTCACATTCTTTGTTCAGGCCTTTTCACTTCTCTTCCAGTCAACACAACCTTCACTTCTTTTACAGGTCACCTCCTCCTGGAAGACTTCCTGAAATGATTCCCACTTGTCCTTCAATCTGTCAACAGAATCCTCCCTCACTCTTCCCCCGTCACTGCACCTTTAAAATTTGGTAATGACAGATTTAGGTTGATGATGGATACACTTTATCTGCCTTCTTACACACCCTAATTCAGTAATGCTAAATTTTGTTGATGATGGATACACTTTACCTGCCTTATCACACTTCCTAAGGGCAGGGACCATGACTGTCCTGTGATCAGTCTCCCAAACTCCTCTATCATACTTATCTCTCCCTCTGGAAAGCTTCTAAAGACTAGTGGGGCTTTTAAAAGCATGAGGATGTTGCTAATATGGAGGAGAGAGACTGAAGGATAAATGAAAGGATAGAAGAAAAAAATGAAGAGAAGGAAAAGAAGGGATGGGTCAAGGCCTGTCCCACCTCTGACATTCCCTAGTGCCATGCATGGGTATCAAGCTGTCACACTCCACAACACCACAAGTAGGAATCCTGGAAGGAGTTGGAAAGGGGTGGGAACAGTTATTTAGGAGACACCTACATTAAGGAAGGAAGATGTGGATCCTAGCAGAGAGACAGGATCCCGTCATGGTCAACTGGATCAAGCCAAGCCAAGCTGACACACGTAAAATCACATCCACCCTTCTGGCTCTCTGGAAATAGAATGAACTCAGTGGTGATTAGAGCATCAAGTATAGAGTTGTTAGGGATTCTGGAAAGGGAGGGAGAAGGTCTTGAGAAGTGAGATGTTTCCAGGCAGAGTCTGTCTCCAAATGCCTTTTCCCTTACTGGTGTCCTGGAACCATTAGGTATGAACTCATTGTAACCTGGACGTAAAGGTTGAGCTGATGCTTTGTTAGCAGGAATCCTCACCATCTGGTTATGGAAGGCAAATGACAACTAGTCATGAACTTCCTAGCCAGACTGAGCACCATATGTCTTATAACACCTGAGCGTTTCCCAGCACTATGCCTGGCATCTGCCAGTGAGGCATGACTATTGGTTGAGAAGGATAAGAAGGTCTAAGCAGAGTCAATCAAATGACCCTCTCAGGTTGTCCAATCAGTGTAATGAGCAATTCAACAACTGGACCTAAGTTTATTAAGGCTCACTGTGTGCCAGGTGCTATTCTAGGTGCAGGGAAAGCAGCAGCAAACATGAAGGTTAGGTCCCTGTTCACTCACCTTCTATTGGACAGAGACACATCAAAAGTCCATAAATAGATCACTGCAGACAGTAATAAATAGCATGAAGATAATAAATATGGGTAAAGAGATAGTGAATACCTTTGAGAAAGACCACTTGAGATACAAGTGGTAAAAGAAGTCCTCTCTGAATGTTACCTTTGGGTTGAGACATGAGTGAGAAAATGGAGAAAGCCATGTGAAGCTCTGGAGGAGCAGGGGCCCAGGCAGAGGGAACAGTGAGTGCAAAGGCGGTGCAGCCGCACCAGCAGTGGCTCGGGGAACGAGAAGTAGAAGGCACTGCAGCCAGAGCACAAGGAGCAAAATGGAGTGACCAGCCCACATGAACAGCCGTCATTCAAGACCATGGTTCTCCTGTTAGCTAAACACTGCAACCATCTGGAAAGCTTTTAAAAGTACTGACACCTGGGACCCACCCCCAGGGTGTCCGTTTAATTGGTCTGAGGTGTCACTTGGGCATCAGGAGTTTTAAAGTTTCCCAGATAATTCTAATGTGCAACTGAAGCTGTTAACCGCTGACAAGCCCATGAGGGCCATAGCAAGGCACTTGGATTGGTGACAATTGAGGTTCTTGAGGAGTCTCAGAGACATTTCTCCAGTACTTCAAGCCCAGATCCAAAAAGATCCTGAGAGGCCTTGGAGTTGGGGATAAGCCAGGACAATGAAGGAAAAGAGATAACATGAGACTGAAAAGAAGGTCAAGAGAGGCAGAGACATCCAGAAAATATGACAAACTGGAAGGTGCAACAACACAGAAGTGCAAACAGACTCAGAGAGTCAGAGACTGGAGGAGAAAAGGCAATCTTGTGTATTAGTTTCCTATTGATACTGTAACAAATTACCACAAACTTAGGAGCTTGAAACAATACACATTTGTTACTTTATTATTCTGTAGTTCAGAGTCTGAAATGGGTCTTACTGGGCAAAAATTAAGGTGTCAGCAGTGCTAGGTTCCTTCTGAATGGTCTGCTAGAGAATCCATTCCCTCGTCTTTTGCAGCTTCCAGAGGTTACCCACTTCCTTAGCTTGTGGCTTCCTGCCTCAGTCTCCAAAGCCAGCAATGTCAGGCTGATCACTTCTCATGCTGCTATCTCTCTATGCTACCTATCAGAGCATAGAAGTGCATCTTTTACAAAATAGATTTCAGTCACAACTGTAGTCTTATGCTTGGGTATCTGTGTGTTTTATGAGCACTGAGCCGGGAGGGTTGTTCCAAGATGAATGTACGTGTGTTTGTTTGTGTAGGTTTGTTTATCAGGGTGTCATATTTGAGTGTCTCCCCGATAAGTATGGGGGAGGCAGAAGAAGAGTGCCTGGAGGGGGTGCCTAATAAAGTCCTGCTGCTCCATAAAGACTTACTGCTGTTATACTGTTATTCTTATTAATAATAAAACTGATGATAGAGTATCTGTCTCTTTGCCTGTTTTCTTTGAGCATGTCCGTCTGTTCCTAAATAATACTGGACATTTATCCCAGTGATATTCAATGCATATGAGGCTATTCATACACATTATATTTAGCTGTGATGTTTGTATTACATGAATGCTTCTGTCTGCAAGTTTGTGCACATTTGGGCATTTGGACACTGATGGATGCAGACACATGTTATATAACAGTGTGGGTGATCATAGTTGTAGACATCTGGATGTTTACTTATGCACAAACCCCCATGAGTATCCAGTTAGCTAGGCCTGGCATTGGAAGGGTAGAGAAGCTAGGAAGAGGAGGGAGCAGGGAGGAAGAGGAGAGGTGGGGAGAGGAGCAGGTAAGGAGAAAAAGAGAGAATGGAGGTGAGGAATGAAGGCACAAAGGAACACCAGAAAAAAATCAGGAAGCAGGAGGGGGTCCCAGGGATCTGCAACTGAAAAAGGCAGGGTTGAGTCACAGCAAGAACACAAGTCAGAAGACCAGGGTAGGGCTCCACTTCTGGTCATTCCCTTGCTATGTGACCTTGGCTATTCCAGTTCTCTGGGCCTCTGTGAACTACCAGAGTTGAAATAGATAATACCGGGTACATTCCAAAGAAGGAAGGAAAGAGAAAACTGGTAATAAAATCACACACGGGGAAAAACAGAGAGAAAGAACCAGAAAGAGAGACTTACGAAGAAAGTAAGGAGAGGCCCTGGGAGCTGGCCAGAGGTAGAGCTGAAAGAGCTCTGCCCCGACTCCCTGAGGCCGAAGTGTGGGCGCCTGCTCCCCACCCCTTACCCCAGAGCTGCAGAATGCCCTTAAGCCCTTAATAGGTAAGGAAGGAAGATGGAAAGGCGAGAGGCACCAGGAATGAAAACCACACATCAACACTCAGAGGCTTGCCAAAGCCACACAAACCAGGATCTGTGCTTCCGGCCCCCAGCCCCCAGATGTAGGTGTGCCAGCCACCTGGAATGACTCGCACCTTGGCAATGTGGGCGCACATGCCAAGAGTGAGCCTGGGCACCCGGCCCATGCGCGTACCACAGGCGGAGGGGAAGGTAAAATTGGGGCTCTTCGGGGGGTCACAGGGGGCTACCCTCCCCACACAGGGCTACCCCGCCCCAGAGCGCCCTCTAGTGACCGCCTCCTAGGCTCTGGGAACCAGGTGTGCTATTCTCCCCTCCCTGCTCCCCCAAACCTTACCCGGGAAGCAGGAGAACCAGATGAGGCGTTACGCAAGGCCTGGTGTTTACCTCCCGTGGGAGCCTCCTCCCTCCCTATAAAGCCTGATGTGGTGGAGAGATTTGACGAGACTGAGACTCTGGTTGAAGAGAGAGGCAATCCCAGGAGAGGGGCGGAAAGCGGCAAAAGTTAATGCGGGAGTCGGAGAGAAGGGCATCTACACAGCAAGCAGCAGGGGCGGCCCGCCATCTGCGCGCTCGAAGGCGGTCACGGTGGTCGCGGAAGGGGCGGCGTCCAGATCCTGGCTTTCCATGGATGCGCCCGAGCTGGGCCCGGGGCTGGTGGAGCGTCTGGAGCAGCTGGCGACGTGTCCTCTGTGCGGGGGCTCCTTCGAGGACCCGGTGCTTCTGGCGTGCGAGCACAGCTTCTGCCGCGCGTGTCTGGCCCGCCGCTGGGGGACTCCGCCGGCGACCGGCACCGAGGCTTCCCCCACCGCCTGTCCCTGCTGCGGCCTGCCGTGTCCCCGCCGCAGCCTGAGGTCTAATGTGCGGCTGGCGGTGGAGGTGCGAATCAGCCGCGAGCTGCGAGAGAAGCTGGCTGAGCCTGGGGCCCGTGCGGGGAGACGCCGAGGGGGGCGCATCCCCACCATGGGCTGCCTGGACCTGCCCGGAGAGGTGAGGCTGGGCGCGCGTCGCGGAGTTGTTGGTGGAAGCGGGAGATTCCCGGGGAAGCCGGGAATGGCACGTCTGGAGCCGGAGGCCCTGTGGAAGTTTAGGCAAAGGATGGGGTGGGGAGAGAAAAGCAAAGGATGAGGGGGCGAGGACCCTGGGTCCTCAAGGTGAGAGGCGCCCGGAAGGACGATGGATGGAGTTGACACTTGGTCCACAGGGGAGGAGGCTGGACCGATGCCTGAGCCTTGTGAGAGGGGCTGGAGAGAAGAGACTGGGGAGGCAGAGAAGGGGTACCGGATAGAACGCGGAGAGCCCTGGAGTCGCCGCGAAGGGCATGGGAACTGCAGAAGTTTTGGCAGGGCAGCCGCAGGCGCCCGGGAGGAGGAGAGCTGGCGGAGGGGAGGGAGCGGCGGGCGGAAGGGAGAGCCGACCCAGCTGAGGGTGAGGAGGGGTCCTGGGAGGATGGTGGGCGAGGGCAGAACCTGCTTAGAGGAGCGGGAGCAGGAGGCTGGGCTGGTGGGTTGGGGGCGGAGAAAAAGCTGGGGAGGAGGGGACTGACAAGAGGATGGAGGAAGGGAGCAAGGGGTTGGGGCATATCCAAACCTCCCCGTAGCGTCGTGGGGGTTGGTCTCGGACTCTGGCTCAAGCTAAGCCCTGTGTTGTTTGTTATTGTTATTTCGGCTCCTCCCAAGGCCCCAGGCAGGAGCGGCCAGGGGTGGAGGCGAGGTGCGGGAGAACAGCCGCTGGGGCCTCTGGCTCCTCTCCACATCCCAGTCTTACCACCCATCTACCCACCGCGCCTCTCCTGGGCCCCGGCTCCTTGGCCACTAACCAGCCCATTCCCTTGCCCGACCGACCCCTGGGCGTCTGGGACTCCTGACTGGCTTCTTCCCAGCAGCCAAGCTGGTCTTGGGTCTTGCTTCTGCCCTTTGAAGTCTTCATAGACCTAATTAGTCTGAAAGTAATTGGCACAATTATGCAAATTGTTTCTCTCTCCCCCGCTCCACCATATCGGCCTGCTCCAGCCATCAGCACTAGACAGTGAAGTGGAGGGGTCGGTATCCCAGTGTTTGGAGGGGAGCATCCAGTGCCCTCTCCTGGCTCCCATAGTACTCTGTGGATCTGCTGGGCCTTTTGGGACACATTCAAGTCTAGCTGCCTCCCTGGCCAGGGTCCAGAGACACAAAGCAAAGGGCCCAATAAATGCCACTGGGCTTTTATTGCAAGAGGGGAAGCAGCTTTATTGTAAGGCTTTTATATACCAACTCTTAGCCCGAGGGCTCTGGGTGTGTGTTTGGTCTGTGTGATGGAGGGAGGAAGGGACAGATGTTTTTCTGGGATGCACTGGGGAAGGTAGATAAGGATGGGGCCGCTGAAAGAGACAGAGAATGGGACTGAGGAGGCAGCAAGGAAGGCAAGGGCTCTGAGGACAAGAAACAGTCATGGACGAGCCTGGGAAAAGAGAATTGAGAACCCTTGGGGAGTGGAAAGGGGGAGGACAGTGGGGATGGAGTTAGGAGGATGAGGGAAAAGTGATGGGGTGAGAGGAAGGAGGGATCATGAAAGGTGAAGGAGGAGAATGAGAGGGAAAGGAGCACAGTGTGTAAAGAGGTGAGATCACTCTGAAAGGTGAGGAGGGACACTGCTAACTCAGACAGAACTCACCTGAGGAGGGGAGAGATAGGGAAGGATGCCCCAGGGAATGAAGCCCAGAGCTCACATCCATGTTTGTTTCTGCCCATCCTAGGATATGAGGAAGACATGGAGACGGTGAGTTCCACTTTTCTGTTCCCTCCTTTTCTCACCAGCTGCCATAGCCATCACGTTCTCACTGGGCCCACACCTTTGTTCCCATTAATAGGCAGGTTTTCTGGGGTATAGTCTCATCCCTTCTTCCTCCAGAGATGTGAGTGGGGTATGCGTGGGGGCATTAGGATCAGAGGGCTGATTTCCTGACCCTTCCCCTCATCTGTGTAGATTTGAAGTCCCAACATCCAAGTCATCTAATTCAGAGGATGATCTCCCTGAAGATTATCCAGTGGTCAAAAAAATGCTTCATAGACTGACAGGTAAGGAAAGAAGAAGGGAGGGAAGGGAATTGAATGAAAGTCTGTGTTAGATTTTCTTCCTTTTAGCCCTAAAAAGTGATCAGGTCCTTTTTGATGTCTGCATTAGTTTCCTAGTACTGCTCTAATGAAGCACCGCAAAGTAGGTGGCTGAAACAACAGACATTTATCTCAAAGTTCAGGAGGTAGAAGTCTGAAATCAAGGTGTCAGCAGTGTTGGTTCCTTCTGACGGCCATGAGACAGAATCTGTTCCATGCCTGTCTCCTAGCCTCTGGTAGCCTCACATGTTCTTTGGGTGATAGGTCTGCACATTTTCTTTTGTATGCATTTGTCTCTGTGTCCAAATTTCCTCTTTTTGTAAGTCAGCAATCTGGATTAGAGCCCACCCTAATGACCTTCATTTTAACTTGATTACCTATGTAAAGATCCTGTTTCAAAACAAGGTAACATTCTGAGGTTTGGAGGACTTCAACCTATCTTTGTGTGTGTGTGTGGAGTGGGGGAGGGCACAGTTCAGCCTATAACAATGTCTATCCTCGATTCCTCATATTCCAGCCATTTTCCCTCTTCCTTTTTCATACATTCAAACAACAGATCCCTGAAGGTTAGGTGCCTCTCAAAAATCTCTGCTTCCACCACCTCTCGTCACTCCTCCCTGGAAGGGGACCCCAGCATCTCCTTGACCCTTCTTTCCTCACTCACTCCCAAGAAGAAGGGTGCCTCTACCCTTCTTTAAACTGCCTAGAGAAGGTGGTCCACCATCTTGGTCATCCACCATCTTGCCCAGTCCAGATTGCTTCTGACACCCCTAATCCAGAAATTTTTCTTCAAAGCACCCCATACATATAAGGCCAATGGTTCTTTTTCTGGTCTCTGGCTATCACCACCTGCTCTCCTCCTCTGCCCCACAACCCCTACAGAAATAGGACTGTCCACCCCACCCCCCAATTCCTGTGGGTGGGTGGGCTGGTTTCTCAGGATACCTTGGATTCCTCCCTGTGCCCCTCCCATTACTTGAGGTTCCAGTATCAGTACGACTTTCTCTTTAGATGAACCTTCCCCATTTTGCTGACCCAGCTCCCATGCCCCACCCCAGATGATGCAGATTGAGGTATCAGTCCTTACTCCTCCCTCGAAGTCAGATCAGCCTCACTCTTCCTCCCCCAACCCCACAAACGAGACAACCTCTCATTTGATCTTCCTGCTGTGCTCCCTGCACTGGGCCAGTATGATCCTTCCCCAGGTCCAATTCTACAGAAGTGGTGCATCAGTACAAGGTCTGATATTGCCCAGGTCTGCTCTTCATATGCCTTCCTTCTTTTTGGTCCTGCAGTCGCCTTTTGAGCTGTTGTGTGGTCACTAGCTCTCAGTCTTTTACGTGATCTTCGTTGACTATTCTCCACCCTACCCCGCCTGTGATTTAGAAAACTCTCTCATGAGGTCCTCTCCCTGCCTCCCCGTCTCCAGCCGACCTGACCCTGGACCCTGGGACCGCACACCGCCGCCTGCTCATCTCCGCCGACCGCCGCAGCGTACAACTGGCCCCACCAGGGACGCCCGCGCCCCCTGACGGCCCCAAGCGCTTCGATCAGCTCCCAGCTGTGCTGGGTGCGCAGGGCTTCGGGGCCGGCCGCCACTGCTGGGAGGTGGAGACTGCGGACGCCGCCTCCTGCAGAGACTCTTCTGGGGAGGATGCGGACGACGAGGAGAGCCACTATGCAGTGGGCGCGGCCGGGGAATCAGTGCAACGCAAGGGCTGCGTAAGGCTGTGCCCTGCGGGGGCCGTGTGGGCCGTGGAGGGCCGCGGCGGCCGCCTGTGGGCCCTCACGGCACCCGAACCCACCCTGCTGGGCGGTGTTGAGCCCCCGCCGCGGCGCATTCGCGTGGACCTGGACTGGGAGCGGGGCCGCGTGGCCTTCTACGACGGCCGCTCACTCGACCTGCTTTACGCCTTCCAGGCGCCTGGCCCCCTGGGGGAGCGCATCTTCCCGCTGTTCTGCACCTGCGACCCTCGTGCTCCGCTCCGCATTGTACCAGCGGAAAGCTGAGTCTCGTCTCCAACTAGAAGTTTGGCCCGGCCACTGGCCCTGCAGCTGCTTTTTGGGGGTGGAATTCCCCACTCATTTCTGGGAACACATTCACACGCCCATTGCAGGAGTATTAATAGCAACCCACATTTTCGCCCCAAAATAATGAGACCTCACCTGGTCTCCACGTTTCCACGTCCCTGCTCAAAACCAAATCCATTCCTGCCTTCTGGCTCTCAGAATCTTCTCTCCCCTACAGCTACTACAGTACTTCCTGACTTCTCCCATTCAAACCATTCTAGGCCTGCAATGGGGAACAGGCCCTCCCCATCAGTATTGGTAAAGTGACCATGATTCCTACATAGAGGCTCTGCTGGTCAAATACTTGACTCCCACTCTTGCCACTCCTAGCTCCAGAAGGGCTCAGGGCCTTCCCCACAGATCTAAGGACTGGGCTACCCTGCCTGTCCACTGAGGTTTCTCCTAAAACAAGAGGCTTGACTCTGGTCTGGGCCCTGTGGCCCTCTGGGAAGCTTTGTACCTCTTTTGCAGGATCCGGGGGTGGGGAGGGACAAGCTAGTTCCCCAACCTCCTATGACTGCTTTCTATGCTCACAGCCTTTTTTCCATAAGAACCTTCTTGAAACTTCTCCCCGCACATACTCACGGAAAGGAACCAATGGTGCTATTTCCCCTCTCTCCTCCTCAACCTGGGAATACTTCAGACATCTCCAAACTCATCCTTGTGTATAGTCTCACACCCTTCCCCATAAGTATAAATGGGCCCATATTTAACACATTTTGTGATTTTGGGTTATTTATTTTGTGCATCTGTGGCAATAAATGAGATCTCAGTGGTGGTATGGATTTGACTGATCTCTGTAACTGTGTATGGCAAAAGGACCGGAAAATGAAAACCAGATCCCAGTAAGGGGTAGAGAGGGGCCAAGAGAACTGAACATCTGGGCTGCCGGAGAAATCAAAGTCTAGGAAGTAAGAGGTAAGAGTGTACTACAGGGGACATACCCCAATCTCTTTGCTCCCTCCCTCTTCCTTCCTCTCCCAGAGACCCAGGTCCCTGGGACTATATTGGATCTGTCTCTGAAGCTGAAAAACAAAAGGCAGAGGAGACAGTCGGCTCTAAGTGACCAATCTCAAGCCAGCTTTGTCAGAAATCCTAAATAACAGGAGAAGGGTGGGAAGAAAGGATATGATTATTTCTTATTCCATTTTCCATAAGAGGTGAGAATGACAAGGACCTCTTTTCTAACTCCTCTTGAGGGTGTGAGAAGGGTTAGCAGGAGGAGAAGGGCTGGGAGCTCTGAGGTCTCCTGTAAGACCTCATATCTCACAGGCAAGGACTAAGAATTAGGATTAAATATTTTAGTGGGATAGCTCTAAACCAGGATTAGCAAGCAAAGTTAGGGCGCAAATTCCTGGAATCTGACTGGGACCCTGGCAGTGAAAGCTGGGACTGTTGAAAACCCAATTTAAGTGTTCGCTACTCATGTTGAGAGTGCAGGGCCAAGATAACTAGATCCCAGGACAGGCAGTTTGGCAGTGAGAACAAAAGGAAGACACTGGGACCAAGGTGCCTAGATCCCTCGAGAGAGAAGGGTGGGTATTGGGAGGAAAAATGAGGACTGGGGAAACCCAGGAGGCTGGGTTCTGGAATAGCAGCAAGTCAGAATTTCAGGATCTCTGTTCGTCCTCCTCTTCCTCTTCCCTCTATCAGGCAGAAGAGAGGGAAGGAGGGGGCTGGAGAAGTAGCCACATGGATACATTTAGGGCCAGACAGACACAGGAATGCTGGAGGAGAGAGGGATTTAGTGCTGCATTGGCCCTGGAGGGGGCTGGGAAGGGTCAGGAGGCTGGGGAGGGGTGGTGGGGGTCGGTCCTAGGGTTGCACGACGCCGTCCTTTGCGGTGGCCACGTACACAGTGTGTATGACCACAGCCCTCTTCTTCCTCCTCATCACTTTCCGTGGAGCTCTCGCCAAAGGCCCGAGGTTTCTCATAAATACAGCAGCCTAGATTTAGAGGGAGGAGCCCAGTTAAAGAGGAGGAAGGGTAAGATATATAGTCAGTTCCATTCCCACTCAAACTCAGTGAAAATTCCTATTTTCTCCTACCTTCCAGGATCCAGCTTCCCCAGGCCCACCCTCTGGGACTCAGGCCCCACCCCTCTTGTCCTCTTAGAGAGCCACGAATTCAAAGCCCCACTTCTCCCACCTCTGACACTTCTTGCTGTCAGACCTAGGCAATTCCAGTTCTAGCCCTTCCCTACCTCTTTCCCTGATACCACAGCACCACCAAAAAAGTGACAGAACTATGAACATCTGGGGGCTTCTGGAAAGCCAGTGGATATGAGTAGATACAAGATATGCTGAAGGGAGCCAGAACTCCAGGGCTACTGCGGGCCAACAATTACTCACATTTGGATGAGCGGCGGCCCATGTGTTCATTGTCCACAGTGTCACTTGTCCATTCTACCTTTTTCTCTGGCTTCCGTTTCCGAAGTTTGATGGTAAGGCTCCGGTTCTCCTAGAAGGTTAAGGATGAGCATACCTATCTAGTCCCCTCTTACTAACCTTTCCCACTCCCTCCCAGGGAACCTCCTCTCTTTTCTTCTTTAGCTCAATCAGTACCATAGGCATAGCACCAGAGGAGCTGACAGAAGATAAAACAGAACAGGTCTTTTACCTCAGATAGTCCCTTGAGGAATAAGTATTATTTCCTGTTCTTATACCACCAGTATAAGAGAAGACACAATTCCTAACCTAGGAAAGGTCCCAGCAACTCTTCAAAGGAAAATATAATCCTTGCTGTTTCTCCGTCTTCCTCCCCAAATCATCCTTGGTAGTATTAATACATGAAAATTATTTTTCAGTCCCCAGCACCTAATCTTTGATCTCCCTTCCTTTTTCCAGATCCCCTATTCTTTTTCTCTTAAAAAAACAAACAAAACCTCTCTCATTCTCAAGCTCCAGCCCTCCCTACCTCTTATCCACCTATTCTCTGGCATCCTGGCATCTCTAGTAGCAAGTATTACTAATCTATTAATTACTAAACTTCCTTTAATCCAAGAGTATTAAGCCCAATGCAACCTTCTCCCTTTGAAGGCAACTTAACATGTTTTTGGATAAATACTTCTTGTTTCTCCATTTACATCTTTGCTCTCTGATTTCTCAAAATACCTCTTTTCATCTCCTTTTCTTGTTTCCTCATTCCTGCCACTTCCTTTTACATTCATCCATTCAATAAATATTTATTCGAATATCAATATTGATAATATTGATAAGTTGGCCTCCAACCATGCTTTCTTACACTACCTTTGATTTCCTCCCAACATCTTCCTGGCTCCTTAATCCTCAATTTCCCTTTCGTTTATTACTTACACACATAACCACCCCAAGCAGCAACACCTATATCCTAACTGTACCTCCCTATTACAAGTTCCTTGACCTGCCTCCTGCACCATCTCTGCCACTCCAAATAGCTCCAATACCTTCCGATTCTCCCAGCCCTAGATATTCAACCCCACACCTCCCATATCCCTAGGCCTAGCTCCTCCAACAACTCTTCTAATCCCTGTCCCCTCCCTCCCAGTATCTCCCAGACCCCTAAACAGCACCGCCCCCCCGCCTTTCTCACGGGCTCGGTTGTCACGGTAACCGTTGTCTCAGTGACGGTCTCGCTCAGCCCAGCCCCTGCCTCGGCCATGGCTAAGGCTCAGGACAGGGAGGAGAGGAGGAAGGGGGATGAGACACCCTTCCCTTTTTCTGTCGCTGAGGTCTAAGAGAAGCGGTATCGGATTCAGAGTGGTAGCCAGGATCCTCCACCTTCTTTATTCCCCCTCCTCCTGGGCCTCCGCTTCTCCACCCCTGGGGATAACCTGGCTAACCCCACTTCCGGCTCGCCGCTTCCGGGTGTGACGCATACTGCAGTCCCCCTTTTTCCCTTCCACGGCACCAAATGCGTCAAAGCGCAGGCGTCGCTGGATTAGTTCCGCCGTAACGTGACAGCGCGCAGGCGCTGAAAGAAAGAGAAACAAATTTGGCGGAAGGGGTGTCACTGCGGGTGTGGGTGGAGGAGGGAGAGTCTGGGGCAGCACGCGTACTCACAGCCTAGAGGAAGCAGGAGGGGCGCCCAGATGGGTATTGCCGGGCCAGACGCTGCAGAGTGGGTGTGGCGAGGGCGGAGTTGTGTGCACCAAGCTGAGTCCTGCTGCAGATTTCCGTTTGCCTTGTCTGGGTAGGTGGACCGGCGAGGAAGCTTAAGGAGCAATAGTAATGACCCTACCGTGGCCTATTTCCCTTTCCTTGTTTGGTCTGGGTTTCTCTAAAGAAAACGGGAAGTGGGAGCAGTTGGAAACACACTTAAGAGTCAAGCGATGTGGTTCTACCCCTCGCCCTGTGCCTGTAGGTGTTTGAGCAGTTCAGTTTAGTGCACGTTCAACGTCAGTTTTTTTCAGTCACTGTGCTACGCCTTGAAGATGGAGGCGCGTAAGACGCTCAGACCCTGCCTTTTAGCTCTAGTAGGAAAGACAGGCATGCTGAAAACTAACAAAAATATGAAACACTGGGGCATTAACAAATGCCATGTCTGATTTGTAAATCTGAATGTAGTTACATACTGCCAACATATTCGTTCTCTCTGGGGTGATGAGTAGGATGAAGCAGAGAAATGGTCGTAAATTACAGTATAGGCTATTTTATAAAAATATATGCACGTTTCTTAGAGAGCAAAAGAAAGTGGTAAAACAAGAACCAGGAAGGCCGACAAGTAGGTTTTTTTAGAAGAGCAGCTTAAAAAGTTGTAGATGTGTGCACTACAGGAAATGGAGTTTTGTACCGCTTGGATCTGAGGGAGTGCCAGATGAAGCTTGACAGGTAGGCAGTGGTTATATGGAAGAACCTGTATGCTTTGCTAAGAAATTAAGCTTAATCCAATCACTGTTATGGGCCAGAGAAAGGCTTAAAGTAGGGTAGAAACATGAACAGGTTTGTTTCAGATTTCAGGAGTGGGTCAGGAAAGTCAACTGCCAGAACAGTTCAAACGTACAGTGGGGAAGACTGCCCTGCCCATTCTCCAGGTTGCTGTGGGGGTCAAACAAGATAGCTATGTTTGAGAGCTCTGAATATATATAAAGGGCCACACAATTATATGATAATTATTACAGTAACCCCTTGATCACTATTTGAGCCAAGGAATGCGGGACCTGAGTATGCATTTGTTCCCCTTGAAAGTTTTTAGTTCAAACAGAAAAAAGCAAGATATAGTTCAGCATGTCTAGTCCATTAAAAAAACCAAACACATATATAGCAACACACATATACAGAGCCACATACATATACACAAGCACAGATATACAGTATAATTTGGTTATCTCTGTGGAGTAGGATTCCTTGTGACTTTACTTTTTTCTTTCTTTCTATATAAGAATCTATTATAATAGATATACAATTCATCCTTGAACAACATGGGGGTAAGGGGTGCTGACCCTCTGAACAGCCAAAAATCCATATATAACTTTTGACTCCCCCAAAACTTTACTGTTGACCAGATGCCTTACCAATAACATAAACCGTTGATTAACACATATTTTGTATATGTATTATATACTTATAATACATATAATCTTACAATCAAGTAAGCTAGAGAAAACATTATTAAGAAAATCATAAGGAAAAGAAAATATATTTACTATTCATTAAGTAGAAGTGGATCACATTTTCATGTTGAGTAGGCTCAGGAGGAGGAAAAGGAGGGCTTAAATGTGCTGCTATCTTATGGGTCTCAGAAGTAGAAGAAAATCCACATATATGTAGACTCAAGCAGTTCAAACCTGTGTTGTTCAAGGGTCAACTGTGTATTGTATTTATCTCAATACTAATAAAATACTCACCTATAGTGATCACTTAGTGGCATTACTTAGTATCAGATTTTTTGTTGTCCAAATTTATATGCTAAAGAGATCTGGTTAAAATTTCTGTTAAATGTCTCACTATCCAAATTCCTAGTTTTTCTTAACCTAAACTCAGGAACCAAATAGATTTAAATAGTATGGCAATACTTACAATTGCTTTTTGTTTATATTAGCCTCATTCCTGACTCTACTTTTTTGTCCTAATTTTTCCCCCTTTTCTTTTTCATATAAATATATCTCTGGAAACTCATTTAAATTCCTTTTGGAATAAGACAGATTATAAGTAACATACATATGTCAGGGTCTTATAGAAAAATATAACTTTAATAAGGAAATTCAACTAAGGGTAGGAGTACTCCAGGAACAATGGTAATCCCCACATGATGATCTGATTCTCTTCTGGGAGCAAAACATTGCAACCAGACAGGATGGACAAGGCATCTAAAAACCCAGTATCCTTCACCTTCCGAAAGGAGGGAGGGACTGTAGAGTTGCCCAGGAAAAAGGTCAAGAGTCTTCCTTCTCCTGGAACCTATGAGGAAAGAAAGGACTTGTTATATTCACCAAAAGATGAGTTTCTAGTAGTATAAGATAAGATATGCAATCAAATAATCAAGGAAGGACTTTTATTTATGACATCATTGAGGACTGGCTCCCCTAAACAAACTTCCAATTCTAATTCCAAGACAACTAAAAATTCTGGGATTAAAAATATATCCAATGAGTTATAACCTCAAAGCAAAGATTTCTTAGGACACAGAAAGCACTAGCTGTAAAAGAAAAAAAAAAGGATAAGCTGAACCTTATAAAAACTTAAAACTTCTGCTCATTTAAAGAGGGTTAAGAAAATAGGCAAGCCACACGCTGGGAAAAAAAATCTTCTTTTTATTTAAAAAAAATTTTTTTTTTTTTGGTAAAATGACAACCAGTGATAGGAAAAAAATACTTTTAAAAGATATATCTGACTATGAATATTTTTAATCCTTTGATGAGATGGCAAGAAAGTAAAGGCAATCTGCACACTGGTTAAAAGTTCTGTAAAACCAGAAATCCAGACAGGGAAGTTAAAACTAATGTCCCTATGAAACGTGACAGTGACACTATGGTGCCCTTTATACTGTTTTGACAGTCACTGGAAGCATAGGAAATGAGGGACAAAATGTATAAGGTCTGATAGGAGATCCCGTGCATAAATTTGGGAACTGCAAAAGGCTGCCCTTTCTTGTAAAAGTGAACAAGAAAAGAAAAAATTCAACTCTATAGAAGGGGAATTTGACTGTCTCAGTAGGTAGAAAGAGAGAAAACTCTCTCCTGAGAATTTCTAACTGTAAGCTAGCCCTTACATGGATTTGCAGCTCAAATTCATACTATCTGTCTGCTCCAAAAAACATGAAGCCAAGAATTTATTTAAAGTAATTCCAGCTTGATAGTGCTTCAAGGCACCTAGAAAAGAAACACAAATGCTGAGAATACAGCACTCGCCCAAGGCCTCAAAGAATTCCTACAGTTCAAGTTCTAAAAAACTCGAATTTATAGTCAAAAATCACAAAACAAAGAAAAAAAGCACTATGAGAGAGACAGCAGAAACAAAAGACAGCAGCATCAGACACACAAAATCCGCAGATATCAGAATTATGAGACATAGAATATAATAACCATATTTAATATTTTAAATATATATTTAAAGAATAATAAAAGGAACAATTTAAAATATGATTAAAGAACTGATAATTATTTAAAAATTAAGGAGATTTGAAAAGTAATTAAATAGAACTCAAAATAATAACAATAGTAAAAAATAATAATACTTGAAATAAACTGAAGACAGAATTAGTGACATGGAAGAGGGACCTGAAGAAATTACTCAGAAGGTGGCATAAAGAGAACAGCAATTGAAAATATGAAAAGAAGGTGAGAGAAATGGAGGACAGAAGAGAGAAACCTCTTTCTAGTAACTAATTCGAGGTCCAGAATGTGAGGACTGAGAACATGGGGGAAAGAGAATATTAAAAGAGATGATGGCTGATAATTTTCCAAGGTTGATGAAAAAAAAGTCCACTCTCAGTTTCAGAAAGTCCAACAAATCCCAAACAGAATAAAAGAAAATCGTATTTTGATATACTATAGTGACTGCAGAACACCAAAGACAAAAATGAGGTCTTAAAAGCATTCAGAAAGCCCATGTTCTCTAAGTCATGTGTGACTAATTCTCTCCAAAGAAAGCTACCTTGACTGCGGTTGAAGACTGCAGTATAAGATGCTGACCACTAAACAATACCTGCTTCTTATGTTGTTTTTTTTTTCTTCATTTCCTTTTAAATATCCTAAAAGTAGGTCAGGCGGGGTGGCTCATGCCTGTAATCCCAGCACTTTGGGATGCTGAGGTGGGTGGATCACTTGAGCTCAGAAGTTCAAGACCAGCCTGGGAAACATAGAGAAACCCCATCTCTACTAAAAATACAAAAAAAAAAAAAAAAAAAAAAAAAAAGCCAGGCGTGGTGGCATGTGTCTGTGGTCCCAGCTACTTTGGAGGCTGAGGTGGGAGGATTACCTGAGCCCAGGAGGCGGAGGTTGCAGTGAGCCAAGATTGCCTCGCTGCACTCCAGGCTAGGTGACAGAGCGACACCCTGTCAAAAAAAAAAAAAAAAAAAAAAATCCTAAAAGGTTTATTTCACTGGTTATAAAAAGGTTTAAAAAAGTGTAACTTAAAAAAATAAAAAACAACTACAAATCTCCCTATTACCAGAACTGCACAGAAATAAGGGATGGGACCAAGGGAAACGGCCATTTCGTACAAAAAAATAAATCACTGGATTTGTTTAGTTAGCAAACAGACTGAGCAGAGGGAGGGGAAAGAATACCCACTTGCAGTTGGTACAGGTGTAGAAGACAGTTTGCCCTTCATCGGCTGAACGCATCTGTCTGGTGTGGTATGCCATTCCTTCATGACCACATCGAGGGCAGCGCCTGTCAACCTGGGAAGAAACTGGTGGGTTAGGGAGGCCTGGTCATATCCCCTTACTTCCCACAGGAATCAGGCGATCACGCCTCTCAAACGTCGATGGTTTACATCTCTTTTCCCTCTTGGAATTGGGCACAAAACTCTCCAGAGCTTTGCAATCACTCCTCCATTTCTTTCCTACCCACCTTATGGAGCCAGTTCTTGATCTCATTAGCTTACCACAGGTCCCTGGCACTCAGGCCCTTCCTCCACCGACATAGGCATGGCTGTCCCCAGTTGGTGGAACACAACCGAAGTCTTCACAACCTTCCCCTCAAAGTCTGCACAGGCAAGTAAGAACTGGTTATGGAGACAACCAGAGACAGCTGACACCGGAAACCTCCCCTTTCCCCTGGCTGGTTAGGCCAGGAGGCCCTACATCCTTTCCCTCAGTTTTCATCGCTAGACCAAATGTACAACCGCCTGATGTCCTGCTCTAGGATCCCCTCCTCAACCCAACCGATCTTGAGTTCCCCAAGCTTCCGACCCTGCGCCCTCCGCCAGGACCCCTGCGTACAAGCCTCTCACCCCGAACGTTGATGTTGAAGCCACAGCGAATACAGGTGACCGTATCCTGAGCCCCGGGCAGAGGCAGGACCGAGCCGCAATCTGAACAGAAATCCAGGTCCGACTGAAAGCTGGAGCAAGTATTGGCGAGGTCCATGACAGACATGCGGTCGGGTCTGAGGAGGGAGTTGGAAGTTTATTAACAAAAGAGAGAAGAGTTCCTGTCCCAGAGGTCGTAACTATTCTGTCCCAGGACCTAGGAGTATATAACCCGAACCCTCCTGCCACGCACGCCTCCTGCCTCTGCGACCAAGGAGCCGAAACGCCCGGAATTCCCAGACAGCGTCGGGTACTAAAGGACTTGGAACCCTTTCCAGGGGCCGGTGAGAGGAGTTAACCAACTCCGTGGGCTAGAGCGCCAGCTCTGCGCCCGCGGCGGGGCAGCGAGATAGAGCCGGCTAGAGCGTCAGGCTTTCGCGTTGACGATTGGCTGTGACGTCATAATTAATTGCGAACCGTGTCTCGGGAGCGTTAGAGATGGAGACTAACGTCTTCCAAGGGAGATTGCGTCTCCACTTTCACCCTGGTACTGAGAGGTTGAGCACAAAATTGGTAACCAATGCTGCGCTTCCAGCAGATTTTCCCACCAGCACCCAATCCTGGGATATTTATTCTCTTTGTCTCACATCCTACAGGAACGCAGTCGCGGGGTATATCCCCCTGAAAACCGTACGTTGCCAAATAATGATTTCTTTGGATTAGAGAACTACAACTCCCCTGGGTCCTGAGCCGGTATTTCCCTTTTGCGGCTGCACCGTAGTTAAAAACAAAGCTAAGTGTTCTGGGACGTATAGTTCTAGCGTTCCTTGGGTCCCGCTGGCGAGCGTGGGCTTTCTGCAGCTCGCAACCGGCCTCGTGCTTTGCGGACGGTTCACTGCGCTTGGAAAGGGGTGAGTCGGCTTTTTGAGGGACAGCAAGTGGTGAGAGTGAAGGCCCGAGGAATGCTTAGTCCCACGGGACGAAAGGAAGCAGGGATGAAGTGGTACACTTGAGAAGGGGTTCAGGACTTTGGAGGTGGTGGAACAGAGGAGCTTGGGGCTTCCTCTCCTTCGACTCCTGCCAGATAAGTGAGGCTAGCAGTAGTCAAGAAAGCTCATTAAGTAGGATTTCATAAGACTTAGGTCGAGTTTGGCTTTTAGTTGTGCCTGCCGCCTATCGAACTCTTAATTCATTATGTCATCCGTTAAGTGGACAGCTGACATTTCCCTGATCTTTTATAAAACATGAGAATAAGTATCTTTGGGAAATCTTTCTATTTTCATTAATCTGTAACTTATATTCCAAGTAGAAACTTTCCCTGAAGGGGCAGCTTGTAGTTGTTTACTAGTTTCCTGCTAGCCCTCCCACCACCATCCACTCTGATAGCTGTGCTAAGTTCATTCATATAAAAGTTCTGGAGCCATCACTGTTTTCTCCTATGAAGGACACAAGCTGTAGTCTTTTCGCTGGGAGAGGCTCCCATCTGCCTTTCTCTGTAATAATGGAGAGAACGCCATAGTGAAAGGGTTAAAACTCAGCAAACTGCTGAAGAGTGACAAGCCCTATCACTTAACTGTGAAATTGCTTGTTATTCTGTCTTACAAAGGGAGACGTGTTGTTGAGCTGATTGTCGTAGACAGTTTTTATTCTCACTTATCTGTGTGTCTCCTTTGAAAATGGAACTTGAAATTCTACCCTCCTCAGTTTTCTGTTTTTAATTTGAAAAACAGCCAACATCCCCTGTGAATTGCAGTAAAGGAACAAAGCATTAAAAGGCATATCCTTTTCCCAACAAAAGCTCACAGTCTAATCAGTAAAGATTTATTGAGCAACTATGCCAGGTTTTGAGCTGAGGCTGAGCCTGCAAAGTTGAAATCTGTGTTCTCTGACCTCAAGGAACATGAATGAATAATTAGAATATAATAAAACTGTGCTAGTAGGTACAAAATGTGAGAGCCCAGAACATGCATATAAAGCAAACATATCTGTAAACTTCAAGGAAGACTGGGAAATGGCTTAATAAAAATAGATACAATGTTATGGCAGATATTTAAAAAAGATGCTCAGATATTATGTGTCAAGGATCATCAGCAATCAGCAAATCATTAATTTTGAGAACTTGGGATCACAGACTCTAATGTTAAGTATTGTGCTAGAAGCCATGTACAGAGAAGTAAAAGTAAGATGATCATACGTTTACAATCTCAAAATAAGCTTACGTAGACAAATAAGAATGTTCCTAAGAGGTCAGTGAGACCAAATATTTGATATCAGATCCTTTCCAACAATATAGAGGCATCATATTTGTAGATATAAATTACAGTTTTCATTCCTTATGAGCCTAAATTTCAGCATCAAAATGTTAAAAGTGATATGTGAATACAGATATCACAGTGTAAACCACGATTAATTTTCAAATGAGTTGTAGAATTAAAATATGTCAAGTATTTAGAGGAAGGGAAGATCACTGACAGAGTAGACTGGAAAGACTTTATAATCAGGAGCTTGACCTGTGAAGGACAGATAGATAGAATTTATTGAGAACTTACCAAGCTCTTTACATCTAATTCATATTTGTTCTTTATAACCCTGAGAGGCAGATTTTTGTCTTACATCTCCATTTTATAGATGAGAAAGCTGACAGAAGTTACTTGCCCTGAGTCACACACCTAGGAAGTGGTAGAATTAGATTTCAGATCTAGCTCTGTCAGACTGTAAAGACCATCCTTTGAACTCTAAATGGTATAAAAGACATACAGAGGAAATGCCAGGCATCCTCAGTGGCTTAAATACGACATCACAGTAAACTCAGGCTAGACCAGGGATGACACATAAAAGATGATAGTTTTCATTTGTGTTGCCATCAGCCTCCTCTATAAATAAACCCAGAGTAACCACAAATTGCCATCCTGAGGGGTTCAACAGGGAATAGTCTCATAATGGATTTAGAGTGAAGGATGATTGGCATTGTTAGTCAGGCAAGCAGAGGGCTGAGCAGTCAAATAACAGAATTTCAGAACAAAAGATTAGAGGGCAGAAATGCTGTATGTGCTGATAGAGTCAGAGAGGGCCCGGATCAAGAAACTGCAGGAAGAGAAAACTAGAAACCTAGAATCGTCTAGAAAACTAGAACCTACAATCGTCTCAGAACACAAAGGAGGCTTGAGGACTGAGCAGACTGACATAGATGTACTTGGACAACACCTCACCAAGGAGCATGTCTCTTCCCACTCACAATCCCCAATACGAGATTCACAGTGGTTCACGCTGAGTCCACAGGAAAAGTATGCTTGTTCATATGAAAGGAAAGATCCTCTTATTAAAAGAGCATTCATTATTTTCTACCATAGGAATGCAGTGGTTTCCCATGGGGGAAATGGCCCTGCTGTAGTCCTCCCTATTAGCAGATTTGTTCTGACACCTCCTACATTTGAATCTACCTTGCCTTTTTTATCTTCCAGATTGGCCTGGGGTACATCATCTAAAGATCCTAGGATTGCTGCAGGTCAGCAGTCTCCACTGGAAAAAAAGATCTTGGTAAGTAAATTATCTTCACATCATACAGTTTGGAACTACACAGAGAAGGAATCTTAGGTTTAAAATCCTTCTGCCCAAGTGACACATTCAGGTAGTATGTCTACACTGGCAAATGTTACCCAGCTATATCCACAGTTGCAAAACAAAGTATCATTTTTGGAAACTTCCAACACCATACATTTTTAAACCTAGTTACTGATTTGTGGTGGTGAGTACTTAATACTTTCAGAGCTCCCAGGCTCACCTGGGAGTGATGGGAATAAAATAACAACTAAGCTAAAGTAAAGAGCATGTAGCTTTTCCTGGTGTCATTAGGGAGGGTGGGCTTGGCTCCTGTTTAAATGTGTTCAAAGGAAAAAGATGATCACATTATAAATTTCTGACTTCATTTTGACAGAATCTAGGTGGTGTGCATACAACAGCAGCAAGACAGTTGATAATGCAGAAATATCAGGAGGAGTGTGAAATACTCTGTAGGGAGCAAGCTGTTTCTCTTGACTACTGGCTTGCCAAAGCAGAGTCTTATTATAATAAAATAATAGTGGAAATGATGAAAGAAGAGACAGGCAATGAAATCTAGAAAAAAATGGAGGAGAAAACAACCCAGAGCGTAGAAGGACTAAAACAGTACTGTTTGGTACCTGAGAGAGAGATGAAACACATAGAAAGGCACATACATCAAACAGGAAAGGCTGGAGAATTTAAGAACAAACCATTTAGACAAGTACTACAACCCCCCAATGAAACAAAATTACCAAAAATTATGCCAGAAGGGCATGGCATCCAGAACGCACAGAGAAGAAAGCAGGTAAATGAGAGGGAACAGATGCAGACTAAGGATCACCAGGAACGCATGATTCGAGGGAGAGAACTTGCAGAACAAAGACTCAAGGAGAGAATCTTGAGAAGAAGCCAGAGCCAGCTACTTACATATGAGAAGCATGAGAGAGTAAAAGAGATAAAGGAGTTTGAAAGAGTTATTGCGTATCTTCTTTTCCAACCATGCAGTAGAAGTCGGATTAAAGTGAGTATTCTTATGGATAAGTCTCAGAATGGAGAGAAGGTGAATACAATTGTGAAACCATATCAAAGAAAATTCTTGGCAATGCCACCCTTTTTAAGAAGTCAAATAGGAAAAATAAGAGATTAAAGTTTCAATGCTGTTATGATAAAATCATATCTCTTAAGTGAACCCTTTTTTTTTTCAAATGCTCGTTCTCTCCAGGGTTCAGTGAATATTCCCATTTGTATCAGATACAGATAGATAGTTCTGCACTTGAAAATTAGCTTAACTTTTTTAGTTGACTTGCATTTGTTCAAGTTGCATATCCTTTCTAGTGTTCAGTGTCCTCATCTTTAAAATGGCAATAATATTTGATGGCATTTATGGAAGGACTGTTTTTTTTGTGAAGTGTAGGTATGTATTAGTTGTTTCATAAATGTTAGTTTCCCCACTTGGAAAGACCGGGGTTGGGCAATGGTGGTGAATAAAGAATTGTTCTAATCTACTTCTCTTATTCTCCCTGTTCCCAGCCCTCCAAGGTTATTTTGATGAGATTGCTATAGTTTAGTATATGGTCTTTAATATCATACCTTCATCAGATAACTACTAGCCAGCCCCTAAAAGTGTAACTTGCTCTGTACAATTTATTTGAATGAGAAACTTAATTTTGAGAGCCTCCTACATGCTAGGCATTATGTTAGTTACTGAAGGTGAATAAAGAGAAGTCTCTGCCCTTGAATAATTTTCAACTAATGGCATAGATCACTCTATAAACAGATAATGTAGTAAATAAAGGTTACAATAGAAAGGTACAGGGTGCTTTACAAAGGACGGATTCTAACCTGGCCCAGGTGAGCAGGGTGAAAAGGAGGAAGGTTAGGGAAGGGAGTATTATAGTCTGTCATGTTTCTTCCAGCTTTTTTTGTCACTTCCTATCACCCACTTAAGCAAGACCTTCCTAATGCTTGGATCCACTCAGGGATAATCAAACTCAGCCTTTCTCAAACTCATGTTTTTGGCACTCATTGATAAATCAGAAAGCAAATTTATAAATTTAGTGAGAATTACAGTTGTCAAGCAGAATGAAATTTGTGTTTTCTAGTCAGTTTATTTTCTTCCCAGATACCAGAAAGTTGGGAAAGCAGGGGTTCAGAGTTGGTAAGCAGAGAAGCAAATAAATGGAAATAGATGCCCTCAGGAATATTATGCTTAAGTTGTGATAATTCTGATGCCCACCTTGCTTTACTAGCAGAACACCCTTTACCCTGGATACTGCTAGGTCAGCCACTGATACAAATGTTCTGTGTCTGTGCTCCTCAGTACAGTAGCCCTTGCTACACGTGGCTGTTGAGGCATTTAAAATGTGGCTGGTGCAGCTGTGGAATGGAATGTTTAATTGAATTTCATTTAAATTTAAATTGCCACATGTGGCAAGTGACTACCCTGTTGCACAGTGTAGCACTGGATAAACATAACTTCTGTGTTCTAGATTCCAGTCCCACCATTAGCTTTCTGTTTTTGACAGTGTTTGCTGGTATGATAGGTCACTGTTCATTTTACATTACTATCAGTTTAGTTTCCTTTGCATTTCAGAGGCTCCCTAATCCCTTAAAGAGATTTAAAAATCAATGTAGACCACTTCTGTGTGAAAATAAGATGACTGAATTTGCTTTGATTGGAATTAGGAACTGACCTCTCTTTGCTAGTTCTGGAATTTGGCCAGGATGCACATCAAAATCTCATTCCTACCCTCCTGATTTGCCTCATGGAAACTTCGTTGCTGTGTCTGTTCTCTGGTCCTCTATTGCTGTGTCTCAGCTTTAGATTCTATGTTTTGCATAGAAATGGATCATCAGAATGCAACAGGCAGAAGACTTAGAAGTGCAAATCAGTAGGGTAATGACAAGCCCTTTGAGCTGAGTGGGACTGAAAAGTAACCTAACATATAACCTATTAGTAATTGTTTACCATGAAGGTTTTCAGTGCTGGACACATAAATTGCTGAGTTCAACTGCCCTCTTTCCCCTCCAAATCTAGCATAAAAGCAACTGGTGCTCTCAGGGCAATTTCACACCTAATACGGCTAAGAATAAAAGTCTATGTTTCAGGAACTCAGTTTGTCCAAACCTGCATCCATCATCTACCTCAAATTATATCCACCTTTTCATTTCTTTGCACTGTGTCTGCTTAAATCTTGAGTCACACTTAATGTTTTTTTTTTGGTCTTTTTTCTTTTTAATGTGAAATAGAATATACAATACACAAATGAAAATGTATATTTAGAAGAACAATAATAAATGTCCAGGTGCCCGTTGCTCAGACTGAGAAATGGAACATTACTACATCCCAGGAGCCTCGTATGCTCTCATTCATATCTCTCTCCCCTGCAGCCAGAGGCAACCACTATCCTGAATTTTGTATAACTGTCACCTAGCTTTTATAGATTTTACTGTCTGTGTATCCCTAACAGTTGCTTATTTATAGCCTTTATATAAATAGAATTATACTGTATATGACTGACTACTTTTGCTCATTATTATTTTTGGATTCATCCATGTTGATGTGTGACACTGTAGTTCATTTCCATGACATGAATATGCCACAACTTAATTATATATTCTGTTGATGTCATTTAGTTGTTTCCAGTTTTTGTTTTATTTTTCTTTTAAAAATGATACTTAGATAAACATTAACATGTTTAATCTTATGTTCTGGTGACTGTGTACTAGATATATGTATGATATATAAATTGTGGTACATTTATTTGACAGGCCTGATCTTGAAGCCTGTTAGATTTCTGTTCCTTTGTGGCATTATGCCTGTAAGCCTGTTCTGTAGAGTCTGGCACATGTTAGCCTCTTAATAGATATTTGTTGAAAGAAAGGACATTTGTTAACTGCTGGAGACAGGCCCAAAATACATAAATAGCTGATAACAGACCACTTTAGCTTTTTACTCATCTTGTCCAGGTACAATCATAGTCAACCTCTGTTTATGCTTATATTTCAGTTGAGGTACTAAAATATTTGTTTACTTAGTTGGTTTTCAGTGAGCTTCCAGTACAGGATTTGTTTCTCTTTCTGTCACTTTTCCCAAAACTTTCACTCCACTGCCTTCTAGAAAAGATCACCCACATGTCGTCTCCTCAAGGCACCTGCAGCACGAAAGTTTTATTTCTGAACAAAAGGGTCCCCAGAGAAGGAGACAAGGAGTCTCCTTTCAGTACGAGGTTGCTGGAGTCCCTAGAGGGTCAAAGGCTGTGTAATAACAGTTCCTTCTTGTCTGCTGGACAAAAGCTTCTGAGCCCTCAAGCACCCTGTGACTTAGTTCTGATAGAGTACTGAGTTTGGAAATGGCAGAGTGGGGACCCAAAACAAATCTTCCAATTCCAAATTCAGTTTTATCCACCTTTTCAAATAAGATTAAAAAATGTTAATGTCTGTTGATTTGTGTGTGTTGAACCACTCTTGTATCCCTGGGATGAATCCCAATTAATTGTGGTATATTTTTGATATGTTGTTGGATTCAGTTTGCTAAAATTTTGTTCAGGATTTTTGTGTATATTTTCACTAGGAAGATTGGCCTGTAATTTTCTTTTTTTTTGTATTCTTCTCTGCTTTTGGTATCAGGGCAATGCAGGCTTCATAAAATGAGTTAAGAATAATTCCTTCCTCTTCAGTTTTTTTTAAATATTTTGAGAAGTATTGGTATTAATTTTTCTTTGTATGTATGGTAGAATTTGACAGGAAAGCCATCTGGTCCTGGGCTTTTCTTTATTGAGACACTTTTAATTACTGATTCAGTCTTATTACTCATTGTTGGTCTGTTCAAGTTTTCTATTTGTTCCTGGTGAAATGTCTACAAAAATTACAAAAATTAGCTGGGTGTGGTGGCATGTGCATGTAGTCCCAGCTACTTAGGGGGCTGAGGCAGGAGGATCGCTTGAACCTCAGGAGGTTAAGGCTGCAGTGAGCTGGTATTGCGCCACTGTGTTGCAGCCTGGGTGACAAAGTGAGACCCTATCTCAAAAATAAAAAAAATTCATATGGAACCACAAAAGAGCCCCATCCAATAGTTAAGCTATAGTAATAGCTTTGTAACTGTTATAGTAGAAACCAAATCATCATGGTACCGGCCTAAAACAGACACATAGACCAATGGAAAGAATAGAGAACCCAGAAATAATTTCATATACTTACAGCCAACTGACTTTCAACAAAGGCACCAAGAAAGGACACCCTTTTCAATAAATGGTGCTGGGAAAACTGGATATCCATATGCAGAAGATTGCAGCTAGGCTCATATCTCTTACCATATTAAAAAATCAACCAAAAATGGATTAAAGGCTTAAATGATAGATCCGAAACTATGAAACTACTAAAAGAGAATATAGGGGAAATGCTCAAGAACATTGGTCTAGGCAAAGATTTTATGGTTAAGACATCAAAAGCATAGGCAACAACAACAAAAAATAGGCAGGTGGGACTATATTAAACTAAAAATCTGCACAGCAAAGAAAACAACAGAGTGAAGAGACCAACTGTAGATGGGAACAATATTTTCAAATTATCCAACAGGGGACTAATATCCAGAGTGTACAAGGAACACAATTCAACAGTAAAAAAAAAAAAAAAAAAAAAAAAAAAAAATCCCCTTAAAAATGGTCAAGGGATCTGAATAGAAATTTCTTAAGAAATACAAATGGCCAACATGTATGTGAAAAAGATGCTCAACATCACTAATTATCAGGGAAATTTAAAGCAAACCACAATAATATATCATCTTACCCTAGCTAGAATAGCTATTATTAAAAAGACAAAAATGGTAGCTAGGATATAAAGACAAACTCTTACACACGGTTGGTGGGAAGGTGAATTAGTACAGCCACTATGGAAAACAGTATGGAGATTTCTTAGAAAACTGAAAATAGATCTGTGTGATCCAGCAATACCACCACTGGGTATTTATCCAAAGGTAAGGAAATCGATACATCAAAGGGATACTGGCACCCCCATGTTTACTGTGGTACTATTTACAATAGCAAAGACAGGGAATCAACCTAACTGTCCATCAATGGATGAATGGATTAAAAAGATACGGCATATATACACAATGGAATACTATTTAGCTATAAAAAGAATGGAATCTTGTCATTTCCACTAACATGGACAGAACTGGAGGTTCTGATATTAAATGAAATAAGCCAGGCACAGAAAGACAAATATTGCATGTTCTCACTCATGTGCGAGCTTTAAAAGGTTGATCTAATCGAGGTAAACAGCAGAAAGATAGTATCCAGAGGCTGGGAAGGGTGTGTGTGTGTGTGTGTGTGTGTGTGTTTGTGGGTGTGTGAGGGGGGTGATGAAGAGAGGTAGGTTAATGGGTACGAACGTACAGTCAGATAGAAGGAATAAGTTCTAGTGTTTGATAGCACAGTAGGGTGACTATAATTAACAACAATATATTGTGTATTTCAAAATAGCTAGAAGACTTGTAATGTTCCCAACACAGAGAAATAAATGCTTGAGGTGACGGATATCCTATGTACCCTAACTTCATTATTAGATACTATGTGTGTATCAAAATATCACATGTACCCCATAAATATGTGCAAATATTATGTACAAATAAAAAGTCACACTGTACAATTTTTATTTGTCAATTATACTTCAATAAATCTGGAAAAAAATAAAGTATGTATGCAATCAAAGTTTTAAAGTATATTCCCAAATATGTGCAACCATCACTGCATTCAATTTTAGAATATTATCATCGCCTGAAAAAGAAACCCCATGCCCTATAGCTATTACTCTCTTATTCCCCCTTCCCCATCACCCCAAACCCTAAGCAAGAGTTAATCTATGTCCTACCTGTATGGATTTGCCTATTTTGGAAAATTCATATGTAAATATAATCATATATGGTCTTTTGTGACTAGTTTCTTTCACTTAATGTTTCCAAGTGTCATTTATATTATAGCATGTATCAGTATTTCATTGCTTTTTATGGCCAAATAATACTGTATTCCATAGATGTATCACATTTGTTTATTTATCGGTTTATAGACATCTGGATTGTTTCTGTCTTTTGGCTAATACAAATAATGCATCTATGAATGTTCATTTACAAATTTTTGTGTGACACATTTTTATTTCTCTTGGACATATACCTAAGAATGGGTGAGTCGTATGGTATCTTCATTTTTAATCAGTTGAGCCACAGCCTGACTCCTTCCAAAGTGACTACATAATTACACATTCCTGCCAGCAGTGTCTGAGGGTTCTCATTCCTGCATATCCTTAACAATACTTATTATCTGATGTTTTGATTCTAGCCATTCTTTGGCTGGGAAGTGGTATCTCGTGTGTGTGTGTGTGTGTGTGTGCGCGCGCGTGCGTGTGTGTGTTTTAGACAGAGTCTCGCTCTGTTGCCCAGGCTGGAGTGCAGTGGTGTGGTCTCGGCTCACTGCAACCTCTGCCTCCCAGGTTCAAGCAATTCTCCTGCCTCAGCCTCCCAAGTAGCTGGGATTACAGGTACCTGCCACCATGCCCAGCTAATTTTTTCTATTTTTAGTAGAGATGGGGTTTCACCATGTTGGCCAGGCTGGTCTGGAACTCCTGACCTTGCGATCCACCCACCTTGGCCTCCCAAAGTGCTGGAATTACAGGTGTGAGCCACCATGCCCAGCCTTCACTGTGGTTTTAAATTGCATTTCCCTAATAATGTCGATCATCTTTTTTATGAACTTATTGGCTATTTGTATATCTTCTTTAGGGAAATGACTGTTCATATCTTTTGCTCATTCTATTTTTATTTATTTATTTAGAGACGGAGTCTTGCTCTGTCATCCAGGCTGGAGTGGAGTGGTGCGATCTTGGCTTACTGCAACCTCCGTCTCTTGGGTTCAAGCGATTCTTGTGTCCCAGCCTCCCAAGTAGCTGGGACTACAGGTGTGTGCCACCACACCCAGCTAATTTTTGTATTTTTAGTGGAGGCAGGGTTTTACCATGTTGGTGAGGCTGATCTCGAACTCCTGACCTCAAGTGATCCACCCACTTCAGCCTCCCAAAGTGCTGAGATTACAGGCGTGAGCCACTGCGCTCGGACTCCTTTGCTCATTTTAAAATTGGGATTATGTGTGTTTTGCAATTAAGTTGTAGGAGATTGTTATATATTCTAGAAACATCTCTTGTTAAATGTATGATTTGCAAATCTTTTCTCCTTTCCTGTGGGTTTTTTTCACTTTTAAAAAAATTCTTAATTTTTAAAACTATTTTAATTTTTTGATCTAAATGTTTACTGTTAATTAGTAAATAATACACATATGGGGTACAATGTGATGTTTTGATATATGTATATATTGTGGATCACTTTCTTGATAGTGTCCTTTGAAGCATAAACATTTTAATTTTGATGACATCTAATTTTTCTCAATATTATCTAATATCTTTTGTTTGTGCTTTGGCATAATATCTAAGAATCCATTGTCCAACCTGAGTTCATAAATATATATATATATATATATATATATATATATATTTGAGACGGAGTCTCACTCTGTTGCCCAGGCTGGAGTGGAGTGGTGTGATCTCGGCTCACTGCAACCTCTGCCTCCTGGGTTCAAGCCATTCTCCTGCCTCAGCCTTCTGAGTAGCTGGGATTATAGGTGTGCACCACCACACCCGGCTAATTTTTATATTTTTAGTAGAGACGGAGTTTCACCATGTTGGTCAGGCTGGTCTCAAACTCCTGACCTTGTGATCCACCTGCCTCGGCCTCCCAAAGTGCTGGGATTACAGGCATGAGCCACCGCACCCGGCCAGTTCATAAAGATTTATCACCTAGGTTTTCCTCCAAGAATTTTGTAATTTCACCACTAACATTTAGATCTTTCTTCCATTTTGAGCTTATTTTTGTATATAGTGTGAAGTAAAGGCCTGTATTAGTTTCTTAGACCTTGTGTAACACATTGCCAAGATTTGATGGCTTAAAACAGCAAACATGTATTCTGTCACAGTTCTGGAGGCCAGAAGTTTGAAATCCAGGTGTTGGCAGGATTAGTTTCTTCTGGAGGCTCTGGGGGAAAGTTCATTCCATGATTCTTTCCTAACTTCTGGTAGCTGTTGGTAGTTGTTGCTCCATTGGCTTGGAGATACATCACTGAAATCTTTGCCTTCATCTTCACATGGCATTCTTGCCTGTGTCTCTTCTCTGTTTATGTCATATCTCCTTCTCTTTTATTAAGACACCAGTCACTAGATTTAGGTCCCACCCTAAATCCAGGATGATCTTTTCTTGGGAACCTGAACTTAATTTCATATACAAAGACACCATTTCTAAATAAGTTCACGTTCACAGGTACTGGTGGTCAGGTCTTAGACAAACCTTTCGGAGTACACACTTCAACCACCATAAGGTCCACTCCATCATTTTGTATGTGGCTATCAAGTTTCCCCAGTACCATTTGTTGAAAAGACTGTGCTTTCCCCCGTTGAATGTGCTCAGCACCCTTGCTGAAAATCAGTTGACAGTAGACACATGGTTTTATTTCTGAATTTCAGTTCTATTCTATTGATCTATGTCTATCTTATGCAAGTACCACACTGTCTTGATTACCATTACTTTATGCGATGTTTTGAAACTGGAAAGAATGAGTTCTACTTTGTTCTTTTCTTCTTTTTATTTTTTAGAGACAGTTTCTTACCCTGTAACCCACACTGTAGTGCAGTGGCATAATCATGGCTCACTGCAGCCTCAACCTTCTAGGCTAAAGCAATCCCCCTGCCTCAGCCTCCCAAGTAGCTGGGATGACAGGTGTGTACCACCATGCCCCGCTAATTTTTATTTTTTGTAGAGACAGGATCTTGCTGTGTTGCCCAGGCTGGTCTTGAACTTCTGGCCTCAAGCAATCCTCCTGCCTCGGCCTCCCAAAGTGCTGCGATTGATTACAGGCATGAGCCACTGTGCCTGGCCCTTTGTTCTTTTTTTCAAGATTGTTTGCGTAGTCTGCGTCCCTTTAATTTCTTTATAAATTTACAATTAGTTTGCAAATTTCTACGAAGAAGTCATTTAGGAATCTGATAGGGATTGTGCTGAATCTATCAGTTTGGAAATATAATCATTGAGTTATATTAAATCTAATCCATGAACTTTACCCCATTTATTTAGATTTTTAATTTCTTTCATTGATGTTTGAGTTGCACTTCTTTTGTTAAATTTGCTTCTAAGTATTTTGTTCCTTTAAAGCTATTACAAATGGAATTGTTTTCTTAATTTCATTTCTGGATTTGTCATTGCAAGGGTTTAGAAATACAATTGATTTTTGTATACTGGTGTTATATCCTTTATCCTTGCTGAAGTTAGTAGTTCTAATAGCTCTTTAATGGATCATTTAGCATTTTTTTATATAAAAGATCATGTCATCTGTGAATATAGTTTTACTTCTTTCTTTCCAATCTGAATATACTTTATTGCTTTTTTCTTGTCTAATTATCTTAGCTAGAACCTTTGGTAATGTTGAATAGACATAGTGGGAGTGGATATTCTTGTTTTAATTGCTGATCTTAGGAGGAAAGCGACCAGTCTTTCACCATTAAATATTGATGTGGTTTGGATTTGTGTACCCGCCCAAATCTTATGTCAAACTGTAGTCCCCAGTGTTGGAGGAAGGGTGTGGTGGGAGGTGATTGGGTCATGGGGGTGGACTTCCCCCTTGCTGTTCTCATGATAGTGAATTTTCGTTGAGATTTTGTAGTGAGATTTGGCTTTTTAAACATGTGTGCCACCTCCCCCTTCTCTCTTCTTCCTGCTTCAGCCATGTAAGATGTACTAACTTCCCATTCACCTTCCACCATTATTGTGTTTCCTGAGGCCTCCCCAGGAGCAGAAACCTGTATAGCCTGCAGAACCTTTAGCCAATTAAACCTCTTTTCTTTATAAATTATCCAGTTTCATGTATTTCTTTAAAGCAATGCATAAATGGACTAATACGAGTATGATGTTAGCTGTAGCTTTTTTATAGATGCCCTTTATCCGGCTGAGAAAGTTCCTTTCAATTCCCAGTTTGTTGACTCTTTTTTTTTTAAAGTAACATGGTCTCAACACATCGCCCAAGATGCCCTCGAACTTCTGGCCTCAAGTGATTCTCTTTCCTCAGTCTCCTTGAGTAGCTGGGACTATAGACACATGCCAATGTGCCCACCTGTTGACTGTTTCTATTATGAAAGAGTATCGAATTTGATCAAAACCTTTTTCTGCATCTATTGAGATAATTGTGGGTTTTTATTCTATTGATATAATATATTACATTAATTGATTTTTGGATATTAAACCCATCTTGCATTCCTAGGATAAATCTCACTTTGTCATGGTGTATAATTATTTTTGTACATTGCTGGGTTGTTTGCTAGTATTTTCTTGAAGATTTTCACATCTATATTCATGAATAGCGATCTGTAGTTTTTTTGTGATTGTTTTGTCTGCTTTTGGTACCAGCCTTATAGAACATACCTTATAGAATATGTTGGGCAGTGTTCCTTTCTCCTTTTTGGGAGAGTTTGTGAAGAAATGGTTTGATATCAGCTATTCATAGATCAGAGTTTGAGTAGCATGGTGACAAACCTAGGATAATTTTTTAGACTTTTATGGATGCTCTAGACTGATGTTTGTGTCTCCAATCCCCCACCCAAATTCCTATGTTTAAAACTTAATCCCCAGTGTGATGATACTTAGAGGTGGGGCCTTTTGGAGGTGATTAGGTTATGAATGCAGAGCCCCCATGAATGGGATCACTGCCTTTATCAGAAAGACCCCAGGCAGTTCTCTTCACCTTTCTGCCATGTGAGGCCACTTGGAGAAGATATACGTTTATGAAACAGGAAAGGGGCCTTCATCAGACATGAAATTAACCAACACCTTGCTCTTGGACTTACCAGCCTCCATAACTGTGAGAAATACTTTTATGTTGTTTATAAGCCACCCAGTCTAAGGTATTCTGTTATAGCAGCCTGAGTGGACTAAGACAGTGGGGGTGTGTGGTGTTATAGATTGGTTTTTGGCCACAGTTCCTGGTTCCTAGCTCCTATATTCCCTTGTTTCGGTCTTTTGTAATAATATTGGGTGTGTTCGGCCTCGGCAGGCCTCAGGAATCAGAATCTCTCTTCTGGCCTCATTTCACCTGCCCCAAGGCAGGACTCTAATCTTCTGCCTTTCTGATTATGGGTCTTAAGACCCTCTCTGGAGAGGGTCCCACACTATACATTGGGAGAAGGAATGCTGGTGTCACGAAGCTTCCATAAAAACCCAGGAGAACTGGGTTCAGGGAGCTTCCAGGTAGCTGAACAAGTGGAGGTTTTTGGAGGTTGGTGTGCCCAGGAAGGGCATGGAAGCTCCATGCTCCTTCCCTGATACCTCACCCTACACGTATTTTCATCTGTATCCTTTGTAATATCCTTTATAATAAACTAGTAAACATAAATGTTTCCCTGAATTCTGTGAGCTACTCCAGCAAATTAGTGAAGCCCAGAGTGGGTGGTGGGAACTTCTGCGATTGGTGTCTGATGTGGAGTAGTCTTGGGGACTAAGCCCCCAATCTGTGGGATATGATGCTATCTCCAGGTAGACAGTGTTGACATTGAACTGGAGGATACCCAGCTGGTGTCCACTGCTTGGTGTGTGGGGAAAAACCCCCACATCTTTGGTCACAGAAGTCTTCTGTGTTGATGATTGTTGTGGTATGAGAGCAGAGGGAAAATGTGGTTTGAGAGAGGGTTTCCTAAAATAGGGTTACAAAAACATAAATGTCACAGATATTCTTTCCAGAAAATATGTGCATATACAAAGAAATATAAATATTAGTATAAAATCTTAGTGTATACACAGGTCCTCTGAAGTCTTAGACATCTAGATTTTAAAAAATCCTAACAAGAGATAAGTTTTGAGCAATCATTTCACCATCCCACAGTGCCACTCTACTTATCTGAGTATAAACTGATCAGGAAAAAGTTGTACTTCATAACAGACTATCAAGGAAATAAATTGAAAGTTGTAATTAATTAGTCACTGATTCATTCAGCAAAACCCAAGTGTCTATGATATACCAGATAAGGTTCTAGTCTCAGATTACTGCTCTAGGAATTGACTTTTTTTTTCATTCTTTTTCCACTCTATCTTCCTGTGTCCCAGCACCTGAACCCTCTCCATGTTAGGGAGAATTTCATACTTAAAGAGTATGATTTCATACTTAAAGAATTTCATACTTAAAGAGTCATTGTAGGAAGCAGACACCAACTTCTTCCACGAAAGAAAAACTCACTTTTCCAAATATTCTGGCAGCTGGATATGGGATGAGGCTTAGGTTCCACCAGGCAGATAACCACTTGCTGGATTCTGACTCAGCCTGGTGACATAAGCTGGTACTGTGCACACATTTTAGTAAGTGTGGTGTGAGTTGCAGCAGCAATGTCCAGTTGCCAGGAGCAGTCGTGATAGCAGTTCTATCTGCAAGGTCCAGTGTCTAGCTTTAGAGTGTCATTGGTATGAACAGTGACATCTGTGCCCAGCATCAGGGGCAGTGATTCCTATGTGAGACTCCACCTAGGATGGGATTATAGATGCTGCTTCTAGCTATGTAGCTTTAAGCCTATTCTCACAGACCTTCCCAAAATAAAATAAACACCAGCCTAATGAAGATAGATGATAGATAGATAGACAGATAGAAGTCCTTTATGTTTAAATTAGAAAAAATAGCATTTAAATGTGGACTTAAGACCCTTTCCCACCCTAGGCACTGTTGATCACTGACCTCAGTGGTTCCCAATCTGGCTGATCACCAGGATTCCTTGTAGATTTTTTACAAAAATACTCAGGCCTTTCCCCATACCCACCATCTCAGAAGTGGAACATGGATCCCAGGAATAACAAGCCACAGGTGAGGCTGATGCACAGCCACCTGGGAATCCTGGTCTACATTCTTGCTACTAAAAGCGTGATCTGAAGACCATCAGTGTCTGCCTCAACTTTTTTATAAACACAGAATCTCATTCTCAACTCCAGACCACCTGAATCTTAGAAAGTTGTCCAGGTGATTCCTACGCACACTAAAATTTGAGATTCTCAGATTTACTTACTTTCTAGATGTGGTGTTAGAACTGTGCAGTCTGCTGTCAGAGTGTGTTCTGATGAAATCCCTTAGCACTGAAGGTCCAGGGTTCAGTCCATGTCCTTTTTCTCTTCTATAGCCATCTTTCCCTTGGCGACTCATGCATGCTCTATGCTTTAAATATCATTAATATGGCATTAACTCCTAAATCTATTTTCCCAGCCCAGACATTTCTCCTGCATTTCCAACTTGCATATCCATCTGCCAACACAACAACCTCACTTGAATGTCTGACATCTGAGATTCAACATTTCCTAAATTGAATGCCTATAGTGCCCCCTCCTCAAATATGCCCCTTTCAGAATTTTCCCCATCTGTGCTGACAACAACTTCATTTTTCTACTTGCACAGTCTGAAATTTTGGGGTTCCTCTTTGACTCCTCTTTTTCATACCCCAGACTTAATCTATTAGGAAGTACTGTGAAGTCCATATTGAGAATGTGTCTGAAATCCAATCACTTCCCACTCTTTTCTCTGCTCACACCCCAGGCAAAGCAACCAGAGTTGCTAATCTGAAATACTGCACTAGTTTCCTACAGTTTTCCCACTTTCTCACTCACCCCTCATCTCTCAATTCTGTTCTCAGCATAGCAGCCAGGATGATCCTTTTAAAAGATGTGCCAAGTCTCTACTCTGCTGACAGCTGTTTGTGTCTCCCCCATCTCACTCAGAGCAAAGTCAGAACCCTTCCAGTATCCTCAAGCCTACATGATCTCCCCAAATCTCTGACCTTATATCAATGACTGCTGCAGCTATCTGAGCCCCCTCAACTCCTCCCACAACCCAGATGTGCTCCTGTTCTGGTGCCTTTGCACTGGGGGTTCCCCTGCCTGGAAAGAACCTGCCCCAGACGTCCTCATAGATAATTCATCTTTTCTCTTAAGGTCACATTCCCAGTGAGACCATAGACCACCCTAGTAAAACAGCCATCTTCCCTGTCCCCACACACCCACAATCTGGATCACCTGCCTCACACCCCTCAGCACCTTTTGACAGAAACACTTTCCTTATTTACTCTGCTTATAGTACATAGTCTGTGTTTTCCCACTAAAACATGTGCCCCTCAAGGCCAGCAATTTTTGCCTGTTTTTAGTTTCCAGATGTAAAACTAGCATTTCATACAGCCAGCACTCAACAAATATTGGCTAAATGAATGACCAGTGTACAGCACCTCCCTATTCTAGAAACAGTATCTTTATTAATGTAGCTGCAGACCACATGCTGTTTTGTGGCAGCTACAGTGAAACAACCACTCATGTTGACATCAATGCTGCCTGTACTTTTCTCACAAATGCTGTTCTCGCCTCCCTCCCACACCAATCCTCATATACCACAGCAGACAATTATAGTTCCCTTTTCAGAAAAAAAAAAATGATCCTAGGCTTATGGACCCTATTTTCCAACCAACTGTGAATTAAATTAGAGTCTAGACATCCATGAGTTTGGATTTGAGCCAGCACTAGGATTATTACAGCCAAAGGCAGGGAGAGAGGGTAGGTGAGCCAAAAATAAATTCCTGTTAGAAACCTAACAGGAGTTTATCTAAGGTGAGAAACCGAGATATGATCTCTAATTCCAGAATTTGATTTCCTGAAAAAGATTGGGGAAAAGATGCGAAGAATAGTCCAGGAAACAGCCCTGGAAGGACAAGAGCTGGGTGGGTCTAAAAATTGGTCTCTTGATACCACAGAGACTCCTGTGTGCAGGGGCCACCCCAGGGCTTGTGAGGACAATGACAGAAAAAGTAACTCCTACGGCTGTCCTAGAGGAGATTGGAGACTTGGAGACCAGAACTCAGATACAAGAAGAAGAACAGGCATAGTCTTCTGTCAAAACAAAACAATGAACAAGATGGGGGCTGAGGGCCAGACCTAAGCCTGAGCCTAGGCTGACCTGGTCACACAAAGCCCTTGCCACAGTCCTAGAGACAGGATAAGGCCTGGCCCTTCTCCTCCTATACCAAATGCTCTTTGTCACACATTCTCCCTTAATCCAGAGCTAGGAGTTACGTCATCGTTTCTCAAACGTTTTGGTTTCAGGATCTCTGCATGCTCTTAGGAATTAGTGAGGACTCTGAAGATAATTTTATGTGAGTTATATACGTTAATATTTACCATATTAGAAACTAAAATCACTTAAATTATTTTATTCATTTAGAATATTAATAATGCATTGCATGTTAGAAATATTTTTATGCAAAGTCAGTATTTCCCAAAGTAAACAGTATAGTGAGAAGAGTGCATCTTTTTACATTTTGTATGTTTGTAAATCCTTTTCTTATGTGTCTCATTAGAAGATTAATGAATTTTCTTCTCCTTCATTTAATCTGTTATTTTGGTTAATCTGTTATGTTTGGTTGAAGTGTATGAAAAAAAATCCATCCTCACACAATGATATTTTTGTTGCTGTTCTTGTTTTGGGTTTTGTTGGGGGGTTTTGTTTGTTTGTTTGTTTCTTTTGGTCTCATGCTATCACCCAGGCTTGAGTGTAGTGGTGTGATCATAGCACACGGCAGCCTCGAATTCCTGGGCTCAAGTGATCCTCCCAATTCAGCCTCATGAGCAGCTGTGACCACAGGCACGAAACACCACCGCAGCTAATTTTGTTTATTTTTTGTAGAGATGGGGGTCTCATTCGAACTCCTGGGTGGAACTCCTAGGCTCAAATGATTCTCCTGCCTTGGCCTCCCAAAATGCTGGGATTACAGGTATAAGTCACCTCGCTAGGCCAGGAATGTTTTTAATAACATTTTTAGAAAACTGGATATTCATCCTTGATACTACACTAAAATGATAGAAGTGTTAGCTTCTTAAAGGTTATTTGTAATGTGGAACATGAAACTATCAATAACTATTTCACATGCTGTTACATTAAAATATATAGGTCCGACTTCCACATTGAATGCTTCTTGTATAATACATGACTTTTAAAAAAAGAAACACAATTTCACCACATTATGTCTTCCAGTGTTGACACATTTAACTACAAGTTATCAAAAAATCACATTTTTTAATATTACCACAGATATTACCAGAAAAGATTGTTAAGTATTGGGAAGCCATCAGGCTTATGATGGTGGATACAAGTTCCCCAGGATTCTAATTTTCTCTTGAGAGCTTGCCTTTTATCATTGGGAATAATACCATCAGTTGATTATGTGGAAGGGACAGGGTTATGTTCGTTTTTGAGAAAGTGTCAGCCAAATATTCAAGTCTAAATGATAATCATTTCTGTCATTCATTCTTTCAAGTAAAAAGGATATTCCATAAAAAATAGACTAGTACAACTCACAAAATGATTTTGTGGACACAAACATTTTAATTTGTTTTTGTTTTCGTTTTAAGACAGGGTCTCGCTCTGTTACCCAGGCTGGAGTGCAGTGGCATGATTTTGGCTCACTGAAACCTCCACCTCCCGGGTTCAAGTGATTGTTGTGACTCAGTTTCCCTAGTAGCTGGGACTACAGGTGCGCACCACCATGCCTGGCTAATTTTGTATTTTTAGTAGAGACAGGGTTTCACCATGTTGGCCAAGCTGGTCTTGAACTCCTGACCTCAAATGATCCACCTGCCTAGGCCTCCCACAGTGCTAGAATTAATTGCAGGTGGGAGCCACTGCGCCTGGCCTCAAACATCCTAATTTGGAATGTAGTAGAAATACCTTATGCGTACTTCCCACTTACTCATTTAAGATATATTAAACTGTGGATTCTGGGATAGAGATTTAATAAAGTTAATAATTCTTTGATACTTCAACCACGACATATTTAAGTGAAACCTGTTTTTTCTTCTATAATTAAGAAGTGGTTAAGAATATAATAACTACTATTTCAGTTTGGTACCATAGCCTCCCTTCTTGTCAAGTTTTACTTTAGTACAAATAATGTCTTCATTGTATTATAAAAATACTTTTAACCTTGTGGATCTATGAAGGGGTTTCAGCAGCCCACAAGGGTTCCACAGATTGCACTTTGAGAAATCCTGTTCTGGGTAAGCTGTGGAGAGTTCTTGACTGGCCCCTTTGCCTCTTCATTTTCCCAAATTTTTCTCCCCGAGCAGGACTCCCTGCATCCCAAAACTTAGCTAGCGCTAAGTTTGCCTTGCCCTGGGCTCTTATAGAAGAGAACCTATCACCTGTAAATTGGATGCAGAGAGTGTCCTTAGTCTGGGAACAGAGGTGGCAAATGTGTTTCCATTTTGGAGCTGGGAATGGTTTGCGCCTAAAAGCACAAAATAGAGATTTCACTCCTGACCCACTTTGAATTTGCAATCTCTATGAGAAATAATATTGGCCCTTTCATTTCTGTTTTTTCCAAGATGGGGTCTCACAGTGTCACCCAAGCTAGAGTGCAGTGGCATGATAATGGCTCACTGTAGTGGCGAACTCTCGGGGGGCTCAAGCCATCCTCCCACCTCAGACTCTTAAGCTGTTGGAACTACAGGCACTTGCCAGCATGTCCAGCTAATTTTAAAAATTATATATTTTGTAGAGCTAATTTTAAAAAATATTTTGTAGAGATGGGATCTTGCTATGTTCCCCAGGCTGGTTTCAAACTTCTGAGCTCAAGCGATCCTCCTGCTTTGGCCTCCCAAAGTGCTGGGATTACAGGCGTAAGTCACCACAACCAGTCACCCTTTCATTTTAGATGTGTCTAATGCACTTGACTTGAGGCCCACATAGCACCAAGAGCAGTTATCTTAATCCATCAGGTTGCTATAACAAAAATACCCTAGATTAGGTGGCTTATAAACAAAAGAAAGATATTTCTCACAGTGCTGGAGGCTGGGAGGTCCAATATCAAGGTGTCAGCTAACTCTGTGTCTGGTGAGGGCCTGCTTCTTCATAGCTGTCCTCTCACTGCATCCTCCCATGGCAGAAGGGCCAAAACAGCTTTCTAGAATCTCTTTTATAAGGGTACAAGTTCAATTCATGGGAGTTCTGACCTCATGACATAATCACTTCCTCTAAAACAAACCCACTTCCAAATATCATCTCACTGGGGATTAGGTTTTATTTTGGGAGGAGCATAAAAATCTCTATAGCAGTAGTGCTGTTCAATAGAACATTCTGTGATGATGAAATTGATCTATATCTGCACTGTCCAATATGGGAGCCACTAGTTACATGTGGTTATTGAGCACTTGGAATGTGGCTAGTGTGATAAAGAGTTGATTTTTTAAAAGTTTTATTCAATTAATTGAAATATAAATAGCCATGTGTAGCTAGTAGTTACCATTTTTGATAGTGCTTATCTAGAGTGCTCTTAGTTTTCAATCTCCCCCACAAAAAAAGATACCTTGTGACTCCCAGATTGAAATACATTAAAATTACCTTCACATAGAACCCATGGATTTGGCTATGTGGGTCTTAGACATATCCCTAAAATACAGCAGGCCCAAGAAAGTTCAATATGTATTTTAACAATTAGAGTGTACGTATAGATTACCAAAACATGATTTATCAACTCAAGGTCATACATTTTCAAAAATGCTTATCACCAGAGCTAATCCTTGTCAATATTTCATTGAGACTCTTGGTGTTACTGTTTTCTATAACCTGGTGAACACAAGGAGGTATATAAGTCATTACTTAGCCCAAGAGAAAGTATTTATTGAAGTTGCCATATAAAATATCTTATAGGCTTTGTAGACATATTTTAAAATTATAAGCAAATGATTTAAACTTTTTCATTTTTGAGATAGAGTCTTATTCTGCCACCCAGGCTGGATTGCAGTTGGGCAATCATGGCTCACTGCAACCTCCGCCTCCCAGGTTCAGGTGATTCTTCCACCTCAGCCTCCCAAGTAGCTGGGCCTACAGGCACACACCACCACACCTGGCTAGTTTTTGTATTTTTTGGTGAATACACCATGTTGGCCAGGCTGGTCTTGAACTCCTGACCTCGAGTGATCTGCCTACCTTGCCCTCCAAAAGTGCTAGGATTACAGGCGTGAGCCACCACACCTGACCAGGTTTTAAATGTTAAAACTCCACCTTAGAACTCTTTGCTTCTTGCTCATTCCCCCCAGCTTTCTCCCCAAATCAAACATATCTGTGTGTTTCTCTTCACTCTGGGACTTCCCTCTCTTCATATCATCTGTACCTAGATGAAAATAGATGTTAAGTTTTACAATTGTGAGGTAGAAAAGGATTCTGTAAGCATGACCCAAATATGAAAAGCCATAAATAAAAAAATAAAACTTCTCTATGTCAACCACAGACTCACAAATATACAAACATATGCCTGTGATCAAATTCAAAGACACATAAATAATTGGAAAGACAAAAGGTAGCATATTTCAATGTCTTTCAGCCAAAGACCACCAGGAACATCTATAGCTGAACAACTGGGGTTTATTACTCATTGTCACAAGAGAGAATGCACACCATCTTAGCGTGAGGATATTAGAAAAAATGCAATATAGGATTTGGTCTTTTAGTGGATGTTTTTGGGGAGAGCTAATGAGGTAGGGGTTGACTGTAGATGGGGTGTTGTCAAAAAGCAGGAACATTTCTACGACTGTCTCAATAAATCTTACCCATAATAAATGCAGAGCAGAGCAAGGATAAAGTTGTGGCTGGTAAAGAAACAGCCGTCACTCATATTAGCCAGCAGGGGGAGAGGTTTGGTATTTTGTGAGGTACACAGTGCCTTGGTTTTTGTCTGTGCTTATACTAAATTATGTAGTGCCCCTGTTTTGTCTTGTTTTATCATGTTCCCAGAGTGTCCTTGTCTGATGTTGTGTAATATGGTTTATGTCCAAGAAAAGAATAATATGGCCTAGTGTTGAGCAGTAGGACAGCTTCTAACAGTACTGAAACCTACTGTCAGTGTCAGAAGTCAAGAGCTGCTTTTTTTCTTAGTCAAATTCAACATTTTTAAGTCATCCCAATAGAAAAATAATAATATTAGAAAGCAATATGGGAAAGAATAAATCAAATATCAGACAATATACTCTGATTAATGAATATGAGGAAAAATGAGAACATGACATTAGAAATGCGAATGAAAATTAAAATCTGTCAGTTTGGCATATGTGAAAGTAAATGATAAGCATATTATCCAGAGGTAGGGAAAATACACTGTCATGAAGGCTGATGAAAAACGGGTATACTTTGGGAGGCCGAGGCAGGTGGATCACGAGGTCAGGAGATCAAGACCATCCTGGCTAACACGGTGAAACCCGTCTCTACTAAAAATATTAAAAAAAAATTAGCTGGGCGTGGTGGCAGGCGCCTGTAGTCCCAGCTACTTGGGAGGCTGAGGCAGGAGAATGGTGTGAACCCAGGAGGCGGAGCTTACAGTGAGCCGAGATCGTGCCACCGCACTCCAGCCTGGGAAACAGAGCAAGACTCTGTCTCAAAAACAAAACAAAACAAAACAACAACAAAAAACTCTGGGGTATAAATTTCTAGAGGGGACTTTTGCGAAACATGTTAACAATATAAATGGACTTACATTTCAATGCATATATTTCTCTTTCAAGAATTTTTCCTAAGAAGATAACTGCACACATTCTAAAAAATATATGTTCAAGGATGTTTCTTGAATTTTGGTTTATAAAAGCAAAATGATTGAAACAATCCAAATGCTGTAATCAATATAGGGATAGTAGCTATGAGTAGCAGAACACTTAATATACCTCAAGGTATAATACCATGTGTTTTACTGAGAGAGTCAAATTTGATCTTCAATGCAAACCCATGAGAAGCCCGATATGTGATATCTTTGTATAGACAGGGAAAGGGAGACTCAGAGAGGTTAAGCAGGTGGTGGGGGTGGAGTGGACCCAGGGAATTTTCTCTTAATGGAATCATCTTTCACTGATTCCCTGTCCATCTGGTGGTGGATATGACGCTGTATCCCATGCCAGTGAACTCTTTCAATGTCCCTGAATGTTCTATGACAGGAGGTCATGAGATACAGTGCTCAGGAGAACATCAAGGGGCAATTGATCAAGGAAGTCTGATTTCCCTGCCTAACCACACTTATATTTCCTCATTCAGCATGTATTTCAAGTCCTCTGATGAATCATGTGATCTACTAGACCCTGAAGATACAGTGAAGAGCAAAAGTAAGATGCTGGCAATTTGATGTTTGCACTGTCATGAAGGAGATGCACATTTAGCAGAACTTACAAAGAGAAATATAAAATTACTGCTGAGCTAAGTGTGGTGAAGAAAAGTTCATGGTACCATGAAAGCAGATAACCAGGAGATCTAACAGGTCCACTACCACTATTCTCAATAATACCTAAAAGAAATAATAAGATATGGCATTTATAAATGATGAATAGGATTTTATAAAATTATATACAATCAGAGAACCAAAAAGCACTCTTGGAAATCAAAAAGTGATCATTTAAATAAGTATTTCAATAGATCACTTGGAAGAGTAAATTTGTACTACCACTAAATATTAAAAATGGAAAAACAATGTCAAGAAAGACAGAAAAACTATACGAATACTAGGCTATCAGTCAAGGATTTCCTGCAACTTAATAATACAAATTCTAAAAGAATGGAAAGATAGAAATTATTTAAAATAAAAAAATTTCTCCAAGTTTACAGACAAAAATTTAACTTGTAATGGCCCCAACCAAGTTCTTACTATAGTAGATGAAAACAGACCCACACCAAGACACATCACAATGAAATTTTAGAAGGTGGGTGGAAAAGAAGAAATCCCAAAAACATCAAAAGGCAAGAAAAACAACATTAGAAGCTAAAAAATGTTGATGGAATGTCATGGAAATTCCTAGGAAAAATGTTTTCAATACAGAATTCCATACCAAGTCCAGGTTGGAATAAGTGCTAGGGTAGCCCGAAGACATTTTCAGAAGCTTAGGCTTTCAGATTTTACTTTCCATGTTCCCTTAGGAACACGGATGAAATGAGAAACAAAAACGATGGAGAAAACCAAAAAAGGGGACACATGGGATCCAGGCAATAGGAGAGCCAGCATAAGAGAGAGGCAGAGGGATGCCCAGGATGAGGTGAAGACGATCTTGGAAATCAGCCCAGATGTGCATGCACCAGTCCACGTGTGGCAGGACCAAGGGAAGTGTCTTCACAAAGATGAGGTTGGTAGAACACGGGGCATGGTTGAATATATTCATGGAGACTGTCTTAGTTCATTTATGCTGCTATAACAGAATGCCATAGTCTGGGTCAGTTATGAAGAACAGAAATTTGTTTTCTCAGTTGTGAGGCTAGGAATCCAAGATCAAGCCACCAGCATTTGGCAAGAGCCTTCTTGCTGTGTCTTCACATGGCAAGTGGGTCAAGGGCAAGAGAGAGGACAATATTATTATTATGGGCTCACTCCCATAATAATGATATTAATTTGTTCATGAGGGCTCTGCGCTCATGACTCAGACAGCTTCTATTAGGCCTTACTTTCCAATATCACTGCATTGGGGATCAAGTTTCCAACACATGAACTTTGGGGAACACATTCAAACTATAGCAGAGGCCTTGGAGGGAAATTTGGAAGAGATTTTATAATGAGTACAACAGAAATTAAGCACATGAAGGGATAAAACATTTATTAATTCCAGGGAAATTAAAAAGTCAATTCCAGGAAGGAAAATAATCCTTGTGAATAGCATTTCCTAATCTAATTGTGAACAGCATTTCCTAATCTAATTGTGAATAGCATTTCCTAGTCTAGCTGTGAATAGCATTTCTGTGGTCATAATAATATAAATAGTGAGCACCCAGCTAACCAAAATTATAAAATAACTATATTGAGAGGAGAGGGGTATATGAAAGGGAGCTATACACTAAGGATGATACATAAGAGTGAAAAACAAAACGGCACTATAACACACTATTTGGAGGCACAGATGTAACGATCAAAAAATTAGGCAGAATAAAGTAGATTGCCTCTAGGATTCAGGAAATGGTGTACATGAAAGATTGGGGACATCTGTGTTCATAACAAGCCTTGTAGAAGTATTTGGCTTTTGAAACACTGTCCATAAATCCATTTGATATATTAAAAACATCATGAGACAATTGACTAAGGAATTATTCTATAAGGAGTGTCAGAGAAATGGGGCGGTAATTGGAGGGAGACATGGAATCAGGCAATGGATTTATTTATTTTATTTTTAATTGTTTTGCTTCCACTTAAATTGCATGTTTTATTTCTCCCAATCCCAGCAATAGCACAGAAGCCCCATCATATCCATCCCAAACTGGTTTCGAGTAGGTTAAGGTTATTGGGACCCTTGTCGGAACATTGATACAAAGAGCTCCCAAACACCGGGCACAAATGTGTCTGCAAACAGATGGAAGTAAACAGTGCACTGGCCCAAATGCTTCATGAGTCAGTTTGATTTTGCAATGCAATTTTCATCCTTGAAACGGCCAGTCTGGAGGGGGAAGGGGTAGCGTGAGGGAGTGAAGTTGAAATTGCCTCCTATTAGCTCACTCTTTCATCATTAAACAGAGACCAAGAGAGAAATGGTTCCAACATTTCACCACATATATTTCTTCTTATGCAGTCTAAGCTGAGAATGCCATGTAAATGGGTCACTGCAAAATGTAGCAATTTAATTTCTCTCCAATCAAAATAAGAAAGCAGTACGATCTCACTTCTATTAACTTTTGAAGGTTTACAGCAGTTAAAGTATTTTTGCTTATTTGTATAAAGGTTAAAAAAATCATTTTTTAAATAAAATACAAGAGCAGCCAATTTCACCATCGAGTAAAAGTAAAAACTGGGATTCTTTTTTAAATTAGTCCAAAGTGGCATTTAGGAACTTAGTTGTAGGCTGCTACGCTGACACCGTGACAAACCAAAGTGTAGGGTTGGGTCTGGTTTTGTTTCTGTTTTCTTTTCAATATCCAGTGCTCATGGATTAAGTTCTGGAAATGTTCCAATTGTAAGGCAGGGATCTGTTTGGATTCCATCATGAGTATGCTCCTTGGGTTGGATGCTGGAGAGTGAGGCATGTTTTGCCGGACCCATGTCGACTACCTAGTAGTCATCAAGGTAAAAAAATTCATCGTCTCCTCCTTGGTATTCCATTCTTTGGAAATCCACTTGGTACCACAAGAGACCTCCAATTCTACCAAATCCTTTCACAAACTGAGACCCTTCTTGTGATTTATATGTGACAATTTCCAATGTAGCTCCGACTTTTTTATAGTTGTTAGCAAACCATTTCAACAGGGGCATGCTCTTGATAAGCGCATGTTCCTGCCTGGTCTCTTTGTCTGTGAAATGAGATTTATCCTTTTCTTGCTCTGGAGTTAGAGAATTTTCTCCTCTTTTGTGCCTTGGCAATGAAGAACATATCTCATTATATTCAGATTTTCATAGGCTATTAGAATTTCTACAGCTCCCATTTCCAAAGCCTTTAGTGTATCTTCAACACCAAAACAGTACCTGCCTGTGTCCTGGCTGATTTCATCAATGTATCCCTACTAATTTCTTCTTTTGAATAAATTTCACTTTGGAGAGGACTTCAGTAGATAGCCCAACAGCTTGGTTGAATCCATTTTCACCACCATAGGATATATCAACTAATTTCTTTTTTTTGAGACTGAGTCTTGCCGTGTTGCCCAGGCGGGAGTGCAGTGGTGTGATCTGGGCTCGCTGCAAGCTCCGCCTCCCAGGTTCACGCCATTCTCCTGCCTCAGCCTCCCAAGTAGCTGGGACCACAGGCACCCGCCACCACGCCCAGCTAATTTTGTTTTTGTATTTTTAGTAGACACAGGGTTTCACCGTGTTAGCCAGGATGGTCTCGATCTCCTGACCTCGTGATCCGCCCGCCTTGGCCTCCCAAAGTGCTGGGATTACAGGCATGAGCCACCACGCCCGGCCTATCAACTAATTTTAAAACTTTCGATTGTAACCGCTGATCAAACGTATCAGATTGACTTAGTTCAGTTTTAAAGTCAGCGGATCCAGCTAAAACTAGACCAGCCACCTTCCCTTTGTCCCCAGAAATAAACAGCTGCACAGCAGTCTCTGCTACTTTCTGAACATTGTTAGGTCACTTTTCCATTCTTAAACAGGCAAAACGCAAGGCTGACTGACCTTTACCGTGTTTCTTTGGGAGATCCACAGTGAGTTTTTGCAGGACTTCTCTTGTGTTTCCTTGGAGGGTGCCAAAAAGTGCACCACTACCATCTATTACGATGAATCCAGACTTGCTTTCATCTGAAAGTAGTGCTGTAAGAGCTTCTGTATGGAATTTGTTGTCACACAAATACAATGATGTATTAATTGGTTTGAAATGTTCAAAATCAATGTTAACTTTCTTGTGCACATTTATAAGTAGATAGGCAAAATGAAGGAAAATTCAGAACTGAAATGGTCATTATTTTTAAAAACCAGCAATTATAGAGTTAACATGTAGAAGTTCTCTCTCTCTCTCTCTTTTTTTTTCTGCCTACTTTGAACATGATGACATTTCTACAGGTGTTGAGATAAAACTCACTGCTTATGGCATTTCAGTCAAGGAAAGAAAACAGCCTTAAAGGCTTTGAAATTAATGGCTTTACAGATTACAATAGCTCCATGGTAATCAACCACCTAGACACCTTTTTTTTTTTTTTTTGAGATGGGGTCTCACTCTGTCCCCCAGGCTAGAGTACAGTGGCCTGATCTGGGCTCACTGCAAGCGCCGCCTCCCGGGTTCACGCCATTCTCCTGCCTCAGCTTCCTGAGTAGCTGGGACTACAGGTGCCCGCCACCACACCCGGCTAATTTTTTGTATTTTTGATAGAGACGGGGTTTCACCGTGTTAGCCAGGATGGTCTCAATCTCCTGACCTTGTGATCTGCCTGCCTCGGCCTCCCAAAGTGCTGGGATTACAGGCGTGAACCACCGCACCTGGCTGACACCTTTTATAAATATAAATTTAGGTTTCCCTAACAACTGTGTACAATAATGAAACACTTAATTGAAAAATTAGTAACATAAAAGAAAAAAAAATAAATGTTTATAAAAGTTAGGCTCTCAGACCAAATAGGTCAAAATCTTGATCTCAGAGCAATAATAGAAGGTATCCCTGTTCAACAGAAAAATTTTGTTTTTTGTGCCATGCAAAAGCCAAAAAGAAAAAGGTGAAGAAAAAAAAACAGCTAAAATTCTTCCCTCCCCACATTTGCTAATTAAGCAAACAAGACTGGTAAACAAAAGATTGATTTGTTACTAATTCAAGGCTACTTGGAGATATTTTGCTTATACAATTCAGTTAAAAAGAAACCCATAACTCACTTGAAACAACAACAACAAAAAAGGTGGGGGCAATGAAAGAAGTTTTTTTTTTTTTTTTTTTTTTTTTTTTTTTTTTTGAGACGGAGTCTCGCTCTGTCGCCCAGGCCGTACTGCGGACTGCAGTGGCGCAATCTCGGCTCACTGCAAGCTCCGCTTCCCGGGTTCACGCCATTCTCCTGCCTCAGCCTCCCGAGTAGCTGGGACTACAGGCGCCCGCCACCGCGCCCGGCTAATTTTTTGTATTTTTAGTAGAGACGGGGTTTCACCTTGTTAGCCAGGATGGTCTCGATCTCCTGACCTCATGATCCACCCGCCTCGGCCTCCCAAAGTGCTGGGATTACAGGCGTGAGCCACCGCGCCCGGCCCGAAAGAAGTTTTTTTAAAAAATCTAACTGCCACGGAAAGTGCTTTACCCAAAATTTTGGTCCATAGCTCTCATTAGATTATAAAGGCAACTGAAGTTTAACCTGGACACATAAAATATACCAAGAATGAACCAAGAAGAAATTAAAAACCTGAGCATACCAATAATGAGTAATGAGCTTGAATCAGGAATAAAAAGTCTCCCAACAAAGAAAAGCCCAGTACTGGATGCCTTCATTGTTCAGTTCCACCAAACATTTAAAGAGAGACTGACACCAATTCATCTGAAACTATTCCAAAAAATTGAAGGGGGAAGGAGTTCTTTCAAATTTATTCTAGGAAGCAAGCATTACCTTGTTATCAAAACCAGGGAAGGATACAACAACAAAAAACTACACGCTGATAAACACAGATGCAAAAATTAACAAAATAGTAGCAAACTAAATCCACAACACATCAAAAAGATTATATGCCATGATCAAATGGGATTTGTTCCAGGGATGCAAGAATGGTTACATATCTGCAAATCAATAAACGTGATAGATCATATCAACAGAATGAAGGACAAAAATAAAATGATCATCTCTAGATGCAGAAAAAGCATTTGGTAAAATTCAACATCACTTCATGATTAAAAACTCTCAACCAACTAGGTATAGATGAAATGTACCTAAATACAATAAAGGCTGCATATGACAATTCGATAGTTGACAACATACATAATGGAAAAAAAGTTGAAAGATTTCCCTCTAAGAATTGGAACAAGATAAGGATGCCTGCTTTTACCAAATTTAACATAGTACTAGACTGATTCCTATGGAAATGGATAGAAAATTTTAAAAGATTACAGCAATGACAACAACAAAAACACATAGTACTGGTCCGACCCAGAGCAATTAGGCAAGAGAAGGAAATAAAAGGCATCCAAATTGGAAAAGAGGAAGTCAAATTGTTGCTGTTTGCAGATGACATAATCTTATTTATACACAAACCTAAAGACTCCATCAAAAAACTCTCAGAACTGATAAACAAATTTAGTAAATTTACAGAATATAAAATCAACATAAAAAAACTGTAGACTTTCCATACAAATCAATAAACATGATAGAGCATATTAGTGGAATGAAAGACAAAACTAATATTATCATCTCTATAGCTGCAGAAAAAGCATTTGATAAAATTCAATATCACTTCATGATAAAAACTTCCAACCAATTAGGTATAGATGGAATGTACCTAAACACAATAAAGGCCATAGAGGCAAACTCAAAATGATGAAAAATCAAGAAAGAAATCTCATTCACAGTAACTATAAAAAAGCATGGGAATAAATTTAACCAAGTATGTAATGAAAACTATAAAATACTAATGAAACAAATAGAAAAGGACACAAAAAATTGAAAGATATTCCATTATCATGGATTGGGAGAATTAATATTGTTAAAGTGACCATACTACCCAAACCAATCTACAGATTCAATGCAATACCTATCAAAATACCAATGTCATTCTTTATAGAAATAGAAAAAGAAATCTTAAAATTTGTATGGAACCACAAAAGACCCTGAATAGCTAAAACAATCTTGAGCAAAAAGAACAAAGCTGGAAGTATCACAGTACCTGACTTCAAAATATACAGCTATAGTAACCAAAATGGCAAGCAAGGTATTGGCATAAAAACGGACACATAAACCAATGAGACAGAATAGAGAACCCCGAAATAAATCCATATATTTACAGTTAATTTCTTTTTTCTTTTTTTTTTATTTGAGACGGAGTCTCGCTCTGTCACCCAGGCTGGAGTGCAGTGGTGCGATCTCGGCTCACTGCAACCTCCACCTACTGAGTTCAGGCGATTCTCCTGCCTCAGCCTGGAATGACAGTCGTGTGCCATCACGCCTGGCTAATTTTTGTATTTTAGTAGAGACGGGGTTTCACCATGTTGGTCAGGCTGGTCTCAAACTCCTGACCTCGTGATCCGTCTGCCTCAGCCTCCCAAAGTGCTGGGATTACAGGCGTGAGCCACCGTGCCCAGCCACTCAATTTATTTTTAACAAAATCACCAAGAACATATACTGAGGAAAGGGCAGTTTCTTCAATAAATGATGCTGGGGAAACTGGATATCCATATTAGGAAGTATGAAACTAGACTGCTATCTCTCACCATTCACAAAAATCAACTGAAAATGAGTTAAGGACTTAAATGCAAGACCCAAAACTATGAACCTACTGGGAGAAAACATACAGAAAACACTTTAGAGTGTTGGACGCAGGAAAGATTTTGTGATTAAGACCTTGAAAGCACAGGCAAGAGAAGCAAAAATGTATGAATGGGACTACATCAAACTAAAAATTTCCTGTACAGCAATGAAAACAATCAACAGAGATAAAACAGCAACTTAGAGAATGAAAGTATTTGCAAAGTATTCATCTGATAAGGGATTAATAGCTAGAATTTACAAGAAACTCAAACAACAGCAAAATAATAATAGTATCATTTTAAAAGGAGCAAATGTGCACCCATCACCCACGCAGTACACACTGCACCCAAATTGTAGCTTTTTGTCCCTCACCTTCTTCCCTCCCTTTCCCCGAGTCCCCAGAGTCCATTGTGTCATTCTTATGCCTTTGTATCCTCATAGTTTTGCTCCCACTTAAGAGTGAGAACATACGATGTTTGGTTTTCCATTCCTGAGTTACTTCACTTGGAATAATAATCTTCAATCGCATCCAGGTTGCTGTGAATGCCATTAATTCATTCCTTTTTGTGGCTGAGTAGTTTCTTTATCCACTCATTGATTGATGGGCATTTGGGTTGGTTCCACATTTTTGCAATTGTGAATTGTGCTGCTATAAACGTGTGTGCAAGTATCTTTTTCATATAATGACTTATTTTCCTCTGGGCAGATACCCATTGTGGGATTGTGGGATTGCTGGATCAAATGGTAGTTCAACTTTTAGTTCTCTAAAAAAATCTCCACCTTGTTTTCCATAGTGGTTGTACTAGTTTACATTCCTATCAGCAGTGTAGAAGTGTTTTCTGTTCAGGCCAGGCACGGTGGCTCCAGCCTGTAATCCCAGCACTTTGGGAGGCCGAGGAGGGTGGATCACGAGGTCAGGAGATCGAGACCATCCTGGCTAACACAGTGACGCCTGTAGTCCCAGCTACTCGGGAGGCTGAGGCAGGAGAATGGTGTGAACCTGGGAGGCGGAGCTTGCAGTGAGCCGAGATTGCGCCACTGCACTCCAGCCTGGGCTACAGAGCCAGACTCCGTCTCAAAAAAAAAAAAAAAAAAAAAAAAAAAAGAAGTGTTCCCTGTTCACCACATCCATGCCAACATCTATTATTTTTTGATTTTTTGATTATGGCCATTCTTGCAGATATAAGGTGGTATCACATTGGCGTTTTGATTTACGTTTCCCTGATCATTAGTGATGTTGAGCATTTTTTCATATGTTTGTTGGCCAGCTGTATATCTTCTTTTGAGAATTGTCTACTCATGTCCTTAGCCCACTTTTTGATGAGATTGTTTGTTCTTTTTCTTGCTAATTTGTATGAGTTTGTTGTAGATTCTGGATATTAGTCCTTTGTCAGATGCATAGATTGTGAAGATTTTCTCCCACTCTGTGGGTTGTCTGTTTACTCTGCTGACTGTTCTTTTGCCGTGCAAACACTCTTTAGTTTCATTGGGTCCCAGCTATTTATCTTTGTTTTTGTTGCATTTTGCTTTTGGGTTCTTGGTCATGAAATCCTTGCCTAAGCCAATGTCTAGGAGGTTTTTTTCAATATTATCTTCTAGAATTTGTATAGTTTCAGGTCTTAGTTTTAAGTGCTTGATCCATCTTGGTTGATTTTTGTATAAGGTGAGAGTTGAGGATCCAGTTTCATTCTCCTACATGTGGCTAGCCAATTATCCCAGCACCATTTGTTCAATAAGGTGTCCTTTCCCCACTTGATGTTTTTGTTTGCTTTGTCGAAGAACAATTGGCTGTAAGTATTTGGGTTCATTTCTGGGTTCTCTATTTTGTTCCATTGGTCTATGGGCCCATTTTCATACCAGTACCATGCTGTTTTGGTGACTTTGGCCTTATAGTATAGTTTGAAATCAGGTAATGTGATGCCTCAAGATTTGTTCTTTTTGCTTAGTCTCGCTTTTGCTATGCAGGCTTTTTTTGGGTTTTATATGAATTTTAAGATTTTTTTTCTAGTTCTGTGAAGAATGTTCGTGGTATTTTGATGAGAATTGCATTGAATTTATAGATTTCTTTTGGTAGTATGGTAATTTTCACAATATTGATTCTACCCATCCGTGAGCATGGGATGTGTTTCCATTTGCTTGTGTCATCTGTGATTTCTTTCAGCAGAGTTTTGTAGTTTTCCTTGTAGAGGTCTTTCACCTCCTTAGGCTAGGTATATTTCTAAGTTTGTTTTTTTTTTTTTTTTTTTTACAGCTGTCGTAAAAGGGATTGAGTTCTTGATTTGATTCTCAGCCTGGTCACTGTTGGAGTATAGGAGAGCTACTGATTTGTGTACATTAATTTTGTATCCAGAAATATTGCAGAATTTTTGTATCAGTTTTAGGAGCTTTTTGGAGGAGTCTTTAGAGTTTCCTAGGTATACAATCATATCAGCAAACAGTGACAGTTTGGCTTCCTCTTTACCGATTTGGATGACCTTTATTTCTTTCCCTTGTCTGACTGCTCTGGCTAGGACTTTCAGGACTGTGTTGAAGAGAAGTGGTGAGAGTGGGCATCATTGTCTTGTTCCAGTTCTCAGAGGGAATGCTTTCAGCTTTTCCCCACTCAGTATTATGTTGGCTGTGGGTTTCTCATAGATGGCTTTGATTACATTGAGGTATGTTCCTTGTATGCCGATTTTGCTGAGAGCTTTAATCATAAAGGATGCCAGATTTTGTTGAATGTTTTTTTTGCATCTATTGAGATGATCATGTGATTTTTGTTTTTAATTCTGTTTATGTGGTGTGTCACATTTATTGACTTGAGTGTGTTCAACCATCCCTTCTTCCCTGGTATGAAACCCACTTGATTGTGGTGGATTATCTTTTTGATATGATTTTGAATGTTTCCATCACAAAGAAATGGTAAACGTTTGATGTGATGCATAGGCTAAATACCCTTATTTGCTTATTACACATTGTATACATGTATCAAAATATCACACTGTACTATATCAATATGTATAATTATGTCAATTAAAATAAATAAAAATAGTAGCCATGACTTTAAATAACTTAAGAAATAATATAATGGACCAGGGGATGAGGAAATAACATGACCCAGCCCTGACCAATCAGAGTTTCCCACACTGTACCACATCTCCATAACAACAGGTATTGGTCCAAAGGTCATCTTCTCTGGTTCTTTATTTATGAACATTGTGAGAAAGATGTCTATTTTTCTGCTGAAGCTGTTAAGGTAGAATAATATGAGAGGAGTTGGAGCTGATAAGCTGATATTGGCTATCTTCTTTAGAAGTACAGAGAGATCTGATGACAAATGTATCTCCGAATCTAATCATGTCTCTAGGCAGCCTCACCCCTGGCCTTTCCAGATAAATTTACATGTTGAATCTTTTCTTTAAAATTATTAACTTGTGACTAAAAAGGTCTTGCTTCTATAACACAAATATTATTTGTTTTTAAGTGAAGGCCAAACAGATTTTAATGTTCTCTCCATCAGTGAGCTATAATTACTAGAAGTATAGTCCTGGACATATCACTTATATTAACCTTTCTCATTCCCAGTGTTACATCTGAATCTTGAAGACATAAAATGAGCTTTGACCTAGTATAAGGATTAGGAGGTAGAATAAATGTAAAGTACCAGGACCTGACACTTGGAAAGTTTTTTTAAACGTCTCAGCTCTTTTCATCATTTGTAAGCTGCACTATTAATTTATTAACAGTTTTTGAGGGAAAACTTAAATCTGCATTAAACATTTGCAGTGTTTTTGGCTGATTGGCATACTTATATTTATCCTTTCAATTATGTAATATTTTCCCATCCATAGCCAAATTTTAAGACTTACATTTTTGAGAAATATAGAGTCAAAAGCATTTTCTGACTTGACTTAGGCCACAGGTTACTCTGCACAGCATCACTGAGACACACCTATCTGTAAAGCTTTTCATATACATAATCTCCAAGACATATAATGCTGTATGGAGACACTTGAATTTCCACAAAGATGCTGGACATTTCATCAGGACCTTATGGCGCTGGAGGCAGATAAGATCTTTCAGAATCAAATTAGCACCCCTTGGCCTGAAGCCTCACATGCTGAGATACAGAGTTCCTAGGGTCCCTCCTGAATATGGTCTTCAAGATGAAGAGAAAATGTCAGGCTATGAGATTCAAAAGAGAGGAGTCAGAGAAACACCTCCCCTGGAATCAGGACCAATTTTAGTTTTGAGATTTAGTCAAAGAAAGATATAGAAGCTAAATATAGGGCCACAATTTGAAGACATAAGAAAGGTAAGATTTCACAGTGTTAGTGCTGAGATGGGGCCAGTTGTACAATATGATCCCAGAATCTCAGTGCTGACATCATTCCAAGTTTAATCTTCCAATTCTCCAACTCAGAATGTCATATTTTCCTCCTTCACTCCCACATCACCTCCTGTAGGGCACTTCTGCATGGCGTGCAAAGAATCTCCCTTGATGGCTATTTTCTGTGCTTGCCCCTGGAGTCTTCTCTGTGTTGCACCTGTGATCACACTGTTCTATAACCAGGTTCTTCCCCCAGAGGACTGAGGGCTCCCTCCATGTATCTCCAGTACTTAGCACAAGATGAGTTTTATTGCATACTTTACTTCATTTTTATCATATATTATTTAAAAATGGTTCTACAAAGCTTATAGTGAAAACTCTTAACTTTTCAGAGACAGGAATTTTTCCCTGTCCCACATCTCCTAATCTGAAAATTTCTGTTTTGTAGAAGCGGCCACTTTTTGTTCTTCAAAAAATTAAACATAGAATTGACATATGATCCAGCAATTCCTCTTCTGGGTACAGACCCAAAAGAAGTTAAAGCAGAGACCAAGCAGATATTTGTACATCATGTTTATAACAACATTATTCACAACTGCCAAAAGGTAGAAGCAACAGAGTATACATCCATCGATGGATGAACAAAGTATGGTAGATCCATACAGTGGAATATTTTTCAGAAGAAGGAAGGAAATTATTTTCCTGTATTATGTATGAACCTTGAAGACATGAAGCTAGATTAAATAAATCAGACTGAAAAGGAAAAATATTGTATGAATCCACTTACATGATTCACCTAGTTTAGTAAGATTCATAGACAGAATGTAGAATGGAGGTTATCAGGGGCTGGGGAGGAGGAGAGAGTGAGGAGATGTTGCTTAATAGACCTAGCATTTAGTTTGGGAAGATGAAAAAGTTCTGGAGATGGAGGGTGGTGATGGTTACACAGCATGAATATACTTAATGTCATAGAACTATACACTTAAAAATGGCAAAATGGTAAATTTTATTATATATTTTTTTAACCATAATTTAAAAAAGCAGCTACTCTAGTGCTTTAAATAGCTTCTTCTTATCCTTATCTCCATATTTCTTTATTTCTTGTTCAAACTTTTTTTATTTTTTATTTTTGGAGACAAGGTTTCTCTCTGTCACCTAGACTGGAGTACAATGACATCATGGCTCACTGCAGCCTTGGCCTTCTGGGCTCAAGTGATCCTCTCACCTCAGCCTCCTGAGTAGCTAGGACTACAGGTGCAAGCCCACCACACCTGGCTAATTCTTCTGTTTTTTGGTAGAGATGGGGTCTCACTACATTGCCCAGGCTGGTCTTGAACTCTTGGCCTCCCAAAGTGCTGGGATTATAGGTTTGAGCCACTGTGCCCAGCCTCAAACTTTCCATTATAGAAAACTTCAAATACACAAAAACAGAATTATATAATGAATTCTCATTATCCATCATCACATTCAATAATTACTAACATTTGTCCATCATATTTCATATGTTTCCACTTTTTTCCAGGAGAATTTTAAAAAATAGACTTCAGTTCTAGAACAGTTTTAACTACAGGAAAATTGAGAAGTTGTTTCTCCTGTTATTAACATCTAACATTAGTATGGTTCATTTCTTACAATTATTGAACCAATATTGATGCATTATTTTTAACCAAAAGTCATACATTACTCAGGTGTCCTTGAGTTTTACCTAATAATATTTTTCTACTCCAAGGTCCCATTCAAGATACCCTATTACATGGGGTTGTCATGCCTCCTTAGGCTCCTCTTGGCTGTGACAATTCCTCAGATTTTCCTTGTTTTTGATGACCTAGACGTTATTGAGGAATACTAGTTAGGTATTTTATAGAATGTTCCTCTATTGGAATTCGGTGTTTTTTTTTTGTTTTTTTTTTTTTTTTCATAATAAGTAGAGGTTATGGATTCGGGGGGAGGAAAGCCACAAGTGAGGTACCATTTTCATTACATGATATCAAGAATTCACACTTCCAGAAGAGGGAGTTAATGCTGTTCCTTTAAGGACAAAGTATCTACCTACCTTATTTGGAGTTCTTCTGCAGGAGAGATTTTGCCTCCTCTCCTCCATTGATTTATTTATCACATCATTTATATCATTATAAACTCATCTCTGGAGGATTGTAAAAGCAAATCCTTTACATACAATTTCACAGTTAAATAGTTCAGCATGCATCTTTCACAGAATAGGGTTTTTAAAAAACATAAAGCCATGCTATTCTCACACTAACAAAATTAACAACAGTTCTCTAATTTTGCTAAACAGTCAATGCATATTCAAATATCTGTCTTGTCTTTTTCAATTGGTCTGTCTGAAACAGAAGCTAGAGAAGGTCCACACATTGCAATTGCTTCTTATGTCTCATTATTCTCTGTTCTTCTATACCATACCACCCACCCTACCTATTTTTTTTTTCTCAAGGCTTTGATTTGTTGGAGAAACTGTTACCAGAAAAACAGGTCCCGATCCCGACCCCAAAAGAGTATTCTTGGATCTTGCACAGGAAGGAATTAAAGGTGAGTCACAGAGTGCAGTGAGAAGGAGATAGTTTATTGAAAGTTACTCAGATACAGAGTAGGTGTCCTCAGAAAGCAAAAGGAAGAATGCACCATCTTTGTTGTAAACTCTTCTAATGTAGGGGTTTAATCTACATAAAAGCTAAGTTAAATGTCTATGTGTGGGTGCTCTGACAGCATGACAAAATTTAGGACCTATTGATTTAAAGAAAGTTATCCTTGGCATTTTAGTTAGTATATCAAAGCATGACTATAATAATCTTAAAAGCATATATTATAATGTGACGTCAGGACATGTGGACATTCTGTTGTCTGTCATAGGCGTTTGTTCTTGCAGGCATTATTAAGTTGTTTAATCAGCTGTAAACCTCTTATGACCATGGGTTGTGACTGGCAAGGAATATGCCTTGCTAGTTGAAAGATGGAGTTGACTTTAAAATGGTGTCACCCTGGCTCTCCTATGCTTCTGTTTCCCCAAAAAAGCCAGGTTACTTGTCCTGTAGAATGATCCACATTCTGAGTTTGGCTAATGACATTCTCATGGTATTAACTTGTTTCTTTATATGTTGTTTTTTCTGTTACCCACAAAATAATTCTTCTGATACACATTTGTAATCTTACCATGCCAGCATCTGCTACTCTTCATGTTACCAAATTTCTGTTCAAGGACCACTAAAGCCACAGTCAGTGGACATTCTGAGACCTCTAGGGGAGGGTGGAGATGCTGTCCTTTAATATAGTCTGACCCAAGCAACCTCCCCACTTGGCATGGTGAATCTAGACAAGCTAAAGAATTTACTATGCCCCAGGCCTGCACCAGCCCTCTCCTAAGACCTTGGGCACTCTCATTTCCCTTTTTTTTTTTTCTAAAGGAAGTCATAGTTTCTCATAACCTTTGCTAGTGATCCTGGACCTTGGTTGTTCCCTGAGGCTGTGTTCTCCACACTGCTGCCATCACTGCTACAGCAGAGGTGCAGAAAGCTCAGGAGAGAGAAGGGAGGAAAAGCTGAAGATTTTGTGTTATTCATGCTTTCCTGACTCCGGCGAAAGTGCTTCCTCCACCTGCAACCATTTCTGTTTCTATACTGCTGAGTCTTGTGTTCCCAAGACCAAGGGAAGCCCATTTTCTTTAAAGCCAGTCACAGTTTCTGTTGGCTGATGGAATATCTGTTGTCCAGCAGTTGTATTCCTGCTCACAAATGCAAAACAGTTTGATGCCACGCACATTCCAGGGCTTAGACTGGAAATGCTGTCCCTTGCCCCTTTGTTACCTTCTGACAGGGATCAGTCCATAGTGTAGTTGGTGTCACAACAGTCCCGAAGAAGCCTTCCAATAGATACCCAAATGTGATTCAAAGTGGCACAGGCACACACCACGGTGCCACATGGTGCCTATGTAAAGCAGGTATATCAGGAATGCTAAGCAGAGAAGTAGCAGAACACACTGATCCCCATGTTCTCATTGTACAGTTGGGTGCAATTAAGCTGGCACAATGGACTCTTCTCATGGCTACTGTTCCAGTAGTGTGGATGCCCCCAAATGCTGCATATTTACTAGGACAGCCAGGCAGAGACAGCTGTGTACTATGATACAACAGTAGTCCCTCTTAGAGGAAGTGACCTTGTTAGAAGTGGGAGTTTCTGAAGCTCTTCAGCTGTTACTGGCCTGCTCTTCCATAGCGTTACTTCAGACCTGCTGGCCCAGCTATCCACTCCGCTAACAGGTCTGTCTCTGCTAACAGGTCTAGCTCTGTCTCCTCAGCACATGTTCTAGGCTCTGACTGCAAGTGCTGACTTGGGCTCCCAGCCCCACACAGACCCTCTGTTCCATGAAAGGGCCATCTATGCAAAGTGCCCCCCAAATGCCAAAGGAGCCAATAAACCAAGGAACAAGACAGACAAATCTAGTTGTCAGTAAAGAGTGTTTTATTGGGGAACTTACAGACAGAAGCGTGGTCTTGGATGGCAGCAAGACAGGTAGGTTTCTGCACTTATTACCCCCACACCCAGGGCTTATATACCACAGGGGAAGAGTATACATGCTCTGTGCAAGACAAAGGCTACTACTGTCCAGAACAGGTAAGAATGCTAATGTGTCATAGCCTAGAATTTGTATAACATCAAGGTTGACATGTTCTTACAATAGGGATGGTAAATAAAGTGGGAATCAGGAGTCAGTCCTGGGACTGGGGCTAATCAGAAGTCAGCATAGAGAATTAGCATCCAAGAGGGAGTCACTTTTCTCTCCACATCCCAGCCCTCTAATCCAGCTCTTACAATCTCATGGACTCACATTTCCCCCATAGTCCCTGAGCCTTCAGAGAGGGCTGTGGGTGACATTTTGATGGTGTGAGTGACACATTTTATCAATTTGTTTTCTACTTGTTAAGCAGGGGCCACAGCAACAACACAAACAACAGGCGATGATATGTATGCCAGGTGTAAGACACAGAATTAAAAATGCCCTTTACCATGTTTATTCAGGAACCAAACCAAGAGGTATAGAGCAGAACAACAATAGGAACAGAAGACTATGGGTGGAATTAAAAATGTTTAGTAGGTATTTGGTGGGGCAGTTCTTCCCCATTAAACAGAATTACTGGTAGCTCCATCTCTGTTGATTAGGAACATAGGATTGTGGGCTGGGAGTACACACCAAACATGTTGCCTGAGGGGCAAAGGCGCTGGTATTATGTGTAAGGTTACAGGGGCAGCAAAGGACCATGTCAAATGGCCAGCCAGGGTGCTTCTTAAAAGGGACTGTGTTCCAGTTTATTGGTATGTGGAGTGTTTTGGCCCAGACTTCAGCAGGATCAATGGAGACCACTTTAGTTGGTAGGGAATTCCTTGCTGTCTGGAAAGAAATGCTCTATCCAACATAGGGGAAGTTGCTAGTCCAACCCCCATTCAAGTGTCTCCTCCCTGGCTCAAGATCTTGAGGAGTTCTAAATAACCTTTGCCATTGGCCTTTTATCTGCTCAGGTCAGAGATGCATCTGGTTGGACTTTCTTTACTATTATGGTTAATGGATCCATCTCTGTGGTGGTCCTGAGTCATTGGTGTGGTGCCAGCACCATATTTGTCTCAACTAAATTAAGGTTTCTAATGGCTTGAGGCAAAATCTTTGTCTAACTATGAAAGATATTGGATTTTGAGAGTGCTCAAAACTGTGCCTTCAAAATACCATTTTTCCTTTCAATCAACCCTGTTGCTTGGGGGAGTATACAGTAAGTGAAATACCCAGTCTATGTCCCTTTCATGCATCCAGTCTTGGACACCGTGTCTGGTGAAATGCATGCCTCGATTGCTATCAATATGTGGAGGGTATCCTTACATGACACTGAGTTGCTCCAAGCCCCTGATGGTGGCTGTTTGGTTTGCTCTTACAAGGGAAAGCTTGCAACAATCCCATGGCAGTGTATACACATGTTAGTGCATACTTTCGTCTCAAGATTACTGGCAAGGGTCTGATGTAGTCTATCTACCAGTCTGTCACAGGGGTGGCTGTCTTATGTATATGTCCAGGTGTATGTGGGATGTGGCAGAGGTACAGACGGGAACAAATTAAGCAGTTTGCTACCGCCACCACTAAATCTGCATAGCAGAGAGCCAATCCTGCTCCCTTTGCTATTTGGCAGCCCATTCATGCACTGAAATCCCCACTGTGATATGTACCTAATCAACTAGCTCAGTATTCTAATTTTTGCTAGGATGTCTGCCTCCATGTTTCTGGGAGGTGAATCTGACCAGTGTGCTGAAGCAATTAGGTCCACAGTGGGTTCCTGTAGACTTTTCCAAATGTCTTTCCACATATCAGCTCCCCATAAGGATTTTTAAATTATATACCAATCATCTCAGGCCCTTTGGGCAAGCCAAATTGTAAGACCCTTAAGTACTGCCAGACTGTCTGTACAGAGAACTATAGGTGGTGGCTCACGGGTACAAACCAACCATGTAGCTTGGAGTTCTGCCCATTGACTGCTCTGTTGCATTCCCATCTCAAACCAGATACTGTCTGTGGTTGTGCAGCTACTACTGTCCATACACAGGGTTACCTTGGCTCAATGCATCTAAGTACCAAGCATTATCAGGAATGAGGGCCATGCCTTCATGTACCATTGGAGACATCTCCTGTGAGGGCTCCACAATAGGGGCAGCACTGGACTCATAATGTACTGGCCCTAAGATAGCATGCAGTTCATCTCTTAAGGGATGCATGGAGAAGGCACTATGTTGTTGCATGTATGCATGGCACTTTTGTAAAGTGGAAACTTGGGCAATAGCTGATACAGGCCTGGCAAACACTCCTACCCAGTCCTTGATAGGAAACCTGTTCTCCCTGGTACCAGGAAAGCAGCAGTTATGGATTCAACTTGTGGCAAGACCTTCTATATCCCCAGGACCTGTTATTCAACTGGGAAATAGCAGGTTTCAGTACCCTTCCATTAATTGTGACTAAAATTCTAAAGGAACTGCTTCCCTATGCTGGACTTTATATTTTCATCATCCAAAATTATAGTTTAGTTTTACCTTTAAAAATATGTTTTTTGTTCTCATTTGTTCCATAGGTTTCTCCTTGAAATTTATATTGTATGGTAAGGTTTCCTATTGTTTGCATTTTGTGGATTGCACGCCAAGGTGTGGTTTAATGTATTTCTATTACCTGTATTTTCTGTAAATTGGTAGTTTGGTATAGAGGTTTGTGTACATTCAGGGTTTTTTTTTTTCTGTAAGTATTGATGGTTCTGTAAAAGGAAAATAAAATCTTGGGGCCCCAAAATTACTAAGCTAAAGGGAAAAGTCAAGCTGGGAACTGCTTAGGGTAAACCTGCCTCCCATCTGTTCAGAGTCGCCCCTCTGCTCACTGAGATAAACACATGTCTGATTCCCTCATTTGGAAAGGCTAATCGGAAACTCAAAAGAATGCAACCATTTGTCTCTCATCTATCTGTGACCTGGAAGCCCCCTCCTTGCTTCGAGTTGTCCCGCCTTTCCAGACGGAATCAATCTTTAGCTTACATATGTTGATCACTGTCTCATGTCCCCTTAAAATGTATAAAACCAAGTTGTGCTCTGACCACCAAAGTTGTGCTGAGAAGTGACACCAAAGAACATGGTGGCATAAGAACTCCAAGGACCCCTCCCCTCCACAGCGGCAATGTGCTTGTTGAAACACCAGTATAAAAAAACTCGATGAGAGCTGTGATTGGATTTAGTGTTGATATATTTTTTGTAAATTGTGGTAAAACATGCATACTATATAATTTACCTTCTAACCATTTTTTCAGTGTACAATTTGGTGGCAGTAAGCACATTTACAGTGTTGTGTAACCACCGCCAATATCCATTTCCAGAACATTTTCATCATCCCAAACAGAAACTGTACCCATTAAACCATAACTGCCCATTCTCCCTACCCCCAGCCCCTGGTAATCTCTATTCTATTTTCTGTTTCTATGAATTTGCTTATTCTAGCTACTTTATATAAGTAAAATATCATATTTGTTTTTATTTCTGGCTTATTTCACTTATAGTGTTTTCAAGGCTCATCCAATTAGAATTTCATTCACTTTTAAGGCTGAATAATATTCCATGCTTATGTGCACCGTGGGTTGTTTATCCAGTCATCCTCTGATGGACACTCGGTTGCTTCCACCTTTTGGATATTGGGTATAGTGCTGCTATGGGCCTGAGTGTACACATATCTGGGTGAGTTCCTGCTTTCAGTTCTTTTGGGTATGCCCAAAAGTGGAATTGTTGGCTCATATAGTAATTCTATTTTTACTTTCTTGAGGAATCACTATTCTGTTTTCCATGGTGGCTGCACCACTGTATACTCTCACCAGCAGTGTACAAGTGTTCCAGTTTCTCCATATCTTCACCAACACTTGGCCTAGTGAAGTTTGCCATATTTTTATGTCCTTATTGGCATTCCTTTTTTTTTTTTTTTTGTGAAACAGAGTCTTGCTCTGTTGCCAGGCTGGAGTGCAGTGGCACAATCTCGGCTCGCTGTAACCTCCACTTCCCAGGTTCAAGTGATTCTCCTACCTCAGCCTCCTGAGTAGCTGGGACTACAGGTACCTGCCACCATGCCCAACTAATATTTGTATTTTTTTGGTACAGACGGGGTTTCACCATGTTGGCCGGGATGGTCTTGATCTCTTGACCTCGTGATCCGCCCACCTCGGCCTCCCAAAGTACTGGGATTACAGGCATGAGCCACCATGCCTGACCAGCATTCCTTATTTTTATGTCCTTATTGTATATCTTCTTTGGAGAATTGTCTATTCATGTCTTTTACTTATTTTTGAATGAGATTGTTTTGCTATTGTTGAATTGTAGTTCTTTACATATTCTGGATATTAATTCTTTATCAGATATGTGATTGGCAAATATTTCCTCCTAGTCTGTGCATTTTCTTTTGATTCTCTTAATAGTGTCCTTTGATGCAAAAAAGTTTTTAAATTTTGATGCATTCTAATTTGTCATTTTTCTTATATTACTTGTACTATTGGTCACCAGCCAAGAAACCACTACCAATTCTAATGTCCATAAGATTTTCCTCAGTATTTTCTTGAGGGTTTTACAGGTTCAATTCTTAAGATTAGTTCTTTGAGTCATTCTGACTTAATTTTTGAAAAGGGTGTAATGGAAGGACATGAATTTTTTCCAGCATCATTCTTTTGCATGTTGATATCCAGGTTTCCAGCACCATTTGTTGATGCACCATCTGTTGCAGTGGGGCTGACACATTTGTAAGATGCAGTGAGCATTAATACATGGGAGCACCATGCATTTATTTACCTGTCTTTACTTCACAGTTGTTTTGAGAAGGCTTTCACTGACAGACTCAACAGAAATGAATATATATGACTTCTTATAAAATCATATTCAAGTAAAATTATAAATTTTAAAATGTTAAGACTGGAGCAAGACTGGAACATCACTAGACAAGCTGAAACATAGGCTGAAATGAAGGGTTATGTTTACCTTGCTACAAATTCTGTTGGCCCACAATCTCTTATGCTTATTGCTTAAGAGAGCCACAGAGTGGGGTGATAGCTCACATAACCAGTCCCTGGTTTTCTGCTTCAGAAAGAAGTTTAAATATTCTGCTTAGACAGAGTAAGGAAATTAACTGAAAGATGTCTAATGTGAAGTTGGCATCTACAAAGTGAAGGAGTGAGTAGTAAGTGTAAACATCAGGAATCCCAGGAGATTCTATCTTTTTGCACGGAAATGGCCTCACTATGCACTGCTGAAGGGAGAAGGTCCCTTCAGGGGACCTTCATGATGAAGAAGAACACAATATGATATAGGAATTTTCTGCTGCAGCCCTAAACTGAATTGTCCTTCTCTCTAACTACAGGTCTCACAAAGTTTTATAGCTTCAATGATTTCACCTGGGCCAAGATTTTGGTTTTTTTGATGTTATTTGTTTGAACTGCTGCCTGGGGCTTAGAAAAGTGACTTGGATATTTTGTCAAAATGGATTTTCTTTGATGGAATGTGAAATCCGTAAACACTCTGCTTTCCTGCTGTATCCCCAGAGCAGGTTGAGTACCTTGCACTTCTTCTCAGCACTTCGCTAGAAGTGGTAGAAGATTTGGAGTTAGGGCCTCCCTCAATCCCTACCCTTTCTTTAATTCAGAGGATCACAAACTGTTGGGAGAAGAGTGGTATCTTGGGCCTCTAGCTGATCTGATGAATATTAATATCCAATGTCCTGTAGTGAAGTCATGTGTGCGTGTAACATCACTTCTTCACGCAGTGTCATAGGAAAGTGGGTTCCTGGACCCCAGGTTAAGAGCCTAAGCACTAAAGGCACAGAGCTAGAGCTCTAGGAGGGGAGGGATGGCTGGGGTGGAACCTCGTCTTGTCATTTAGTCCTGGGGCCTTTTCACTCCTTACATGGTGGGTGGTGGGCGTCTGGCAGGTGCCGATGTTGATGGAGTCAAGGGAGGGAACTAGCCGGGACAGGGAAAAACAGGGTTGGAGAGATAATTAAGGTGGACATTATTTTTTCTGAGCGTAAGTCGTGGCTGGAAATCTGGAGAGCCTGAAAGAGTATCCCCCTACCCAAACCTGTTTTTTCCTTTTCCCTCAAGCCTCATTTGGCCACAGGCCCAGTGTCAACACCAGGGGGCGCCACAGACCATGAAGGCGCCCACAGACCATGAAGGCACCGTGCAGCTGGGATTGTTTGTGGTCGGCTACTGGGTCCCTGACTTAACCAGGGGAGCCAAGACCCTGTAGCCAAGTGGCCTGGATTCAACCTGCAGCTCAGGTCTTACTGACACTTCTCCCCCTGGTGCCTCAGTTTCTTAATCTGTGAAATGGTGAGGACATTACAGCATTTACCTCTGGGGCGGGTTTCTCAACAGCAGCACTATTAACAATTTGGGACAGAGAATCTTGTGGAGTGGTCTGTCCTGTGCATTGTGGGAGGTTTGCCAGCAACACCCCACTCACCCCCTCCCACCAATCCCCATGTGACAACCGAAAATGTCCCAGGATTTTTAGGTCTCCCTTGGGTCTAGAAGCTGCACTTAGGCATTTTCCCACCTGACACTTGAGTTCATCTCTGCTTTGGTCCACATAAGGCCACTTTAAAAAAATGTTGTTTCTTTAAAGATTCTAACCATCTTTTAAACAAATCCATTTTCTTCCTCTATTTCTGCATTCAGTTAATCCTTCCAAACCCTTTGTTTAGTATATCTTGAAATGTATCAATTCCTGTTCTAGTAATTAACATATGTGACTTGCATGATATCTGCTATGACCCCTAGTAGAGCTCTGATTCCTTTAGCACAGGGAATGTGTTCTCGATTCTGCTCTGGATGATGTAAATCAATTTATTTTACTTTACTTGTCTGGGATGTTGCTCCTCATCTGTAAGATGTAAATGTGGATATGGCTTGGATTACTAAGTGGTTTTATTTCTTAATTCACCTGACATTTGTTGTGTACCTGCTGCAAGTCAAATACATGGCATGGTATTGTTTCCTTGTTCACACCACAGCAAATGAGAAAATGAGACATTATAGCCAGGTGTGGCGGCACAGGCTTGTGGTCCTAGCTACTCGGAAGGCTGAGGCAGGAGAATTGCTCCAGCCCAGGAGTTTGAGGTTACAGTAAGGTATGATATCACCATTGCATTTCAACCTGGGCAACAGACCCTGTCTCTGAAAAAAGGGAAAAAGACCTTGTGAGCTGTCTACGTGTACTCTATGTCTCAGGAGACTCATATCCTGTAATTTTTCTAAATGGCGTCTCCATGTGGTCTTTCATGAATGTTTGTCTGGTATTCTCTATCCTTTTACTTTCAACTTTTCTTTACCTTCTACTGAAATTATGTCTTTTGTAAACAGCCCATGATTATTTATTTAGTTATTTATTTTTACCCCCCTGCACTATTTGTCTTGTAATTGGAGTGTCTGAGTCCATTATGTTTAATGTAATTATTGACCTCATTGGGTTTAAGTCTGTCCATTGTCATTTGCTGCCTTCTAATATTATCTCTTTCTTGCTCAACTATTTTTCTTATGTTACCTTCTTTAGATGAATAAAAACCTTTGCATTATTGTAGTCTTCTAAGTGTCCTAATTACACATTCTCTTATTATTTCTTTAATTATCTGAGAAAGCATAATGATCTGTGACTTCTTATAACCAATAGCAGACCACAACTTCCCTGACTTTCACCTACCTGTGCCCACAGCCCAGGGGAGAATCAGTGCTCTGGCTCTGAGACACAGGGGTGGTGGGAGTAGGAGAGTGATTGGATGATGAATCTGTAGCTGCAGAGGCATCTGGGCCCCTCACCTGCATTCCTCATAGATGTCTCCTCCATTGAATGCCTGCGATGCCCTCTCCTCTGTGTACTCCTGCCAGAGTCTCCCTATCTCCACTGACAGCAGCTCCACCCTTCTGCTCACTCAGTCCAATACTGTGGGTGTCCTTGATTCTTCTTCTCACATCCATTAGCAAGTGCTGTGAGTCCATCTTCAAATTCATCCAGAATCCCTTCACTTCTCACTATTTCCCCTGCTCACACCCTAGTCAAGGTAAGCAACGTGTCCATCCTAGAATACTGTACTCCTTTCCCACCATTTTCCCCACTGCATCACTGGTTCCCCACCTCTCAATTCTGTTCTCAGCACAGCAGCCAGAAAGAAGCTTTCAAAGGATGAGCCCTACCATGTCCCACTTTTCAAAACTGTCCTCCCCATGTCATTCAGAGCAAAGGTCAACACCCTTCCCACACCCTTCAGGGCTACCTGCTCTAGCCACACCTTTGACCTCACTTCAGTTTCTCTGTGTCCAGCCCTTCTGGCCTCTTCCTCCTTCCAGGAACACAGACAATTTCCTGCCCTAGTGCATCTGCACTGAAGGTTCCCCTGCCTGAAAAGAACTTTCCCAGACATCCTTGTAGACAACTCCTCACATCCCTCAAATCTTTACTCCAAGGTCACATTTGCAACAAGGCCCATGCTGACCACCCAGCACAACAGCCACCTTCCTGTCCCCACAGCCCACCCTCTGGATCACCTGCCACACAGCACTTGCCACCTTCTAACTCAAGCATTTTCTGTTCCTACTCTGCTTATACTATATCTATCATCTGCCTACAGAGGTGTCCAATTTTTTGGCTTCCCTGGGCCAGTTGGGAAGAATAAGCATTGTCTTGAGCCACACATAAAATACACTAATGACAGCTGATGAGCAGAAAGAATAGAAAAAAGAAAAACATGTGCGTGCATAATTTTCATGATATTTGCTACCACAGATAAGCAAAAAAACTTCTTACATTCAAAGCTGTCCCGGGCCACACGCAGCCCGAGAGCTGCAGGTTGGACAAGCTTGCATCTAGAACGTATACACCACAAGGCCAGAAATTTTTCTGTTTTTACTTTAATGATGTTTTCTAAATGCAAAAACAGTCATATACCTAGCAGACAACAAATGTCAGTTGAATGAATGATCACTGTAGAGCACCTCTGTATTCTAAAGGCAATATCTTTATTAACGTAGCTAAAGAACAACATCATCTCACACCAACATCAGTGCTGCCAGTGCTTTTCTCACCAGGGCTGCTTGTGTGTCCTTCCCACCTCCTCCCACACCAACCCTCCTGCACACTGCAGCGCACAGCCATATTTTTCTGTTCAGGAAAGATAATCCTAGCCTTGTGGGTCCAATTTTCCAACCCCATATAAATCTAAATCAGACTCTGCTTTATAAATGCATGAGTTTGGATTGGAGCCAGCACTGGGATTACTACAACTCAGGCAGGAAGAAGAGTAGGAAAGCAGAAGAGGAGTTCCAACAGAAAGTTACCTACGATGAGAAACTATGGGACCCCTCCTCTCTGCAAATTTCAGAATCTGCTTCCTTTAAGAAGGCTGGGGAAAAAGATGGAAAATACAATCCAGGAAAGAGACCTGGAAGGAGGGCAAAAGATACAGGGGACTGAAAATTTGTCTCTTCATACCGGAAGGACTTCGATGTGTAGGGACCACCCTAGGTGACATCCAAGTCCCTGTGATCACAGGTCCTGGTGGGACAAGGTTCTACTGAAGGGCCAAGGACAGTGGAGCAGCAAAGATGACCCAGGTGAGCTGTGACCACATAAAGCCCATGGTGGCCTGAGCACACACTGGGCACAGCCCCATCTACTCTCCTCCCCTGCAACAAATCAGCACAAGAAACACGTGGACTCTGGAAGGTTCTCATGTCTTCCATTTATTTTGTCTCTCAAATTTTAGGAATCTTCTCCTTTAATTAACCCATCAACCCGTCATGGAAATAATTTGAAAAAAGTAAATTTATACTCAGATTCTAATTTTAATAGGGAAGTAAGAAGTTACAGCTCAGTGCACCATGAAGTTGAGACAGAGATGGAGACATCCCAGCACCACTTCTCTGGAACAGGAAAGGTGATCGGGGAAGGAATGTAGGTCAGTGTGGGGAACAGGGTCATGGTGGACACGGGTGTGGGCTGGTCTCCCCACCACCTCACATTATGCCTATAGGGACACAGACACATTCAGATGCCTTTGCAGAAAGAGAAGTCAGGGTTCTTGAAGTCACAAAGGGAAGGCATGAACAAATCTTGCCTCTCAGTCCCACACAAGGCAGCTGTCTCACACTATAGAAAAAATATTCATGAACAAATTCATATCACTCACAGTGAGGGGTCACACCTTCAACAGCCCATCATGTGCTGAATACATCCAAGTCAAAGAAACCCCATAGCACAGCTATATCCACTGTTACCCCAACAACCCACACACATCAGCCTCCCCAGGGTCTCAGCTTTACAAGCCGTGAGAGACACATCAGAGCCCTGGGCACTTTGGCTGCCTGGGGTAGAACAAAAACAGAACCTGGTCAGATCCCACAGGAGATGTGGCTAGAGGAGGAATTGTGGGGTGGGTGAGCTCCCCCATGGGCTCCCAACCACAATATCCCAAGGATCTCAGGGATCAGCCTCCTTCATACTTACTTGCAGCCTGAGAGTAGCTCCCTCCTTTTCTATCTGCGGGAAGAAAACGTCCTGTGAGAGGCCAGGAAGGTAGCAGGGCCATGAGGTCCTAGAGGAACCTCCTAGTCTTGGAACCTCGAGAAGTTTCCAGAAATGTGTGACTGCAAACCAAGGGCAGGATCAGGAAAAACAAGGAAAGCAGATGTGGGTCCTGGACCAACTGCCCTCCTAAGGTCTGTCCTCAGCAGGGACCTTCCCCTGACCTGTGATTACTGGGGTCAGATCCCCATCACTACAATCATCAAGGTGAGAAATCTGTCCTTCATTGTCACAGGTGCTTACAAAAGAGTAAGTGCTGGCACACAGGGCCCAGGCTGGGTAGGCCCATGAATGTGGATGGTGCTTCCCGGTAACCAGGCAGAACACATTTCTACCTGGAGCTTGAAACCCCCAGTGGGACAAGAAAACTCAAACCCGACTCCTCACCCCTTCCCCACCTGAGCTCTTCTTCCTCCACATCACAGCAGTGACCACAGCTCCAGTGACCACAGCTCCAAGGAGAACCAGGCCAGCAATGATACCCACAATGGGGATGGTGGGCTGGGGAGAGGGCTCTGGGAAAGGAGGGGAATGTGAGGGTTCTGACCTCCAGGACCCAGCCCCGACCCTGCTAAAGGTCTCCAGAGGGGCTCCTGCTTTCCCTAAGAGACATGGCCGCCCCCATCTCTCTCCTTACCCCATCTCAGGATGAGGGGCTTGGGCAGCCCCTTGTGCTGCACATGGCATGTGTATCTCTGTTCCTCTCCAGAAGGCACTACCACAACCGCCCACTTCTGGAAGGTTCCATCCCCTGTGGGCCTGGTCTCCACGAGCTCCATGTCCTGGGTCTGGTCCTCCCCATCCCGCTGCCAGGTCAATGTGATCTCCGCAGGGTAGAAGCCCAGAACCCAGGACCTCGTTATGCCTCATGTTCAGAGAGGGGGGTGGGTCACGTGTGTCTTGGGGGGGGTCTGAAAGGAAGAGTCGGAAAACTCAGGCACTTTGCATTCCTCATGGGACACCCCAGCAGCGCCCATGTGACCATCCTGATGAATAGGACACCTGGGGTGGGGAAGGGAGCACAGAGCCCAGACACCAGCCTGGACACAGGCGCCTGGGATAATCTCCTATTCCTTGGAAAGTTCTAGTCTCTGAGCAGGGTAGCAGGGACTTCTGGTCCTGATCTGAGTGGAGGCCAAGGGACTCAGAGGAGCTGGAGTCAGACTCCGACACATTGAGTGTGAGGCAGAGAACAAGGCCCGGGAGGAAAAGTCCTGGTGCCCAAGGTTGCTGTGGGGTGAAAGGGGACCGCGGATCAGTCTTCCAGGGATTGTCTTCCCCTCCACTCCCTCAGAGACTTCATCCCTTAATTGTCCCAGGAAGAGCAGGGTGGGCCCTCAGAGTCAATCTCTGATACAGGATCTGGAAACCCAGGAGGATTCCTCTCCGTCAGGACAGGAGGGAGGGCGATATTCTGGTGGTGTTTCCATTTTCTTCCCCTCCTTGTGCGAGGCCAGCCCGGGAGATCTACAGGAGATCGAGCAGGCTCCCCATGGCCCCTGGTACCCGCGCGCTGCAGCGTCTCCTTCCCGTTCTCCAGGTGTCTGCGGAGCCACTCCATGCAGGTGCCCTCCAGGTAGGCTCTCCTTTGCTCAGCCACATTGGCCGCCTCATACTTGCGCTGGGTAATCTGAGCCGCGGTATCCGCGGCGGTCCAGGAGCGCAGGTCCTCGTTCAGGGCGATGTAATCCTTGCCGTCGTAGGCATACTGCTCATACCCGCGGAGGAGACGCCCGTCGGGCCCCAGGTCGCAGCCAAACATTCCCTGGAGGATGTGATACCCTGGCCCAGTTCCCGCGGTCAGCCCCGCCCACCGAGCCCTGGCCCGGACCCTAGCAACCTGCGGAGATTTTGGCCTCAACTGAAGATGAAACCAGGTAAAGGCGCCTGGGGCTCTCCCGGGTCGAGGATCTCTGCAGGTCCCGCAGCCTCGGGGTCGATCTTGGACCCGGAGACTCAGGGGACCAGGGCCGTCCGTGAGGCATGGAGCGGGGAGTAAGTGATCTGCGCCCCGGGCCGGGGTCACTCACCCGCCTCGCTCTGGTTGTAGTAGCGGAGCAGGGTCCGCAGGTTCACTCGGTCAGTCTGTGCCTGGGCCTTGGCGCCCAGTGTCTGTAGGTCCCAATACTCCGGCCCCTCCTGCTCCACCCACCGCGCCCGCGTCTTCATCCTCAGACTCACGGCGTCACTGTCGACCCGCACGAACTGCGTGTCGTCCACGTAGCCCACGGCAATGAAGCTGGGCTCCCCGCGGCCCGGCCAGGAAACGGCGGTGCTGAAATACCTCATGGAGTGGGAGCCTGGGGGCGAGGAGGGGCTGAGACCCGCCCGACCCTCCTCCCGGCGCGGCTCCCCGGGTCCTGCGCCCCAGCCAGGTGGACCTTTCGCTCCTCACGGCAGAGGCCGTTTCCCTCCTGACCCCGCACTCACCCGCCCAGGTCTCGGCCAGGGCCAGGGTCCCCGAGAGCAGCAGGAGGAGGGTTCGGGGCGCCATGACCCCATCGTCGGCGTCTGGGGAGACTCCGAGTCCCGGTGGGTGCGTGGGGACTTTAGAACCGGGGCCGCGCGACGCTGATTGGCTTCCCTAGAAACCCGACACTCAGTGGGAGTGAGAACTGGGTCCGCGTCGTGAGTGTCCAGGAAGAAGGACCCGTCGCAGGCTGGGAGAGGGAGAAGAGAAACTCTGCGGAGATGGGGAATCCCCAATGCTGCACCTCCCCAGCCCATGCACCGCCTTCGGGGCCTGAGACCCTGAGAGCCATGCCTGGGGCTCTGGGACTTCGCCCTGACCCCGCTCCTCCTGTGACAAACGCTCTGTCTCAATGTTCCCTGAGTCTTGGTCCAGGAGCTGTCCGAGAAACCAGGAAGAAACCCTCAGCTTGGGCCCCGTCCCTCTCCTTTCACTTTTCATCCGGGAATTCCTGTCCCTGAAATGGACTCCCTGCTTCCCCACTGCTTACCTGTTCTCCTGGACTCTTCAAAAAGAAAACTCACCCCAGGGAGCTTGGTGCCAGAGAGGGAGCTCTCCCTGGGAATGGAGGTGTAGAGACAGAGGTTTTTTTCTTTTATTTCTTTTTTCTTTTTCTTTAAATCTGGAAAAGTTGTGCCTGGGTGCATGAGATAGTATAGAGACCAGTTTGCTTTTTGTGTATTAACTACAGTGGGTAGCAGAATCTTGGTAACCCCTGAATGATCAGGAATCTAATCGGTAAAAACATGTGACTTTGGCCCCTTGATATATAAAGTGTCTAAAAGCATTACAACAGGACTCACAAAGCTCCTAAGTTTCACTTTTGCAAACAAGGTATCTGTGACTCCCGCTTGTGGTGTTTTAAATTTACCTTTATTCCATAGCCCTGAGTTTCTGTGAGTCCAGGACATCTCCTCAATACAAAGTAGCCACTGTGTTCCTATGTGTTGCAACCAGGAGTCAGTACAGACTTCATTCACCTCAAAGTTGCAAGCGCTCGATGCAGTCACAATGTCCATCACCAGTGCTCATGCACTGCCTGTTTTTAGGAAGTATCCACATCTAAGTGGTGTGTATATTTCTTAGGAACACTTAGTATTTTTAAAACCTGATTAACATAAAAACAATTAGTTTTTAAGCAGACCCACTTAAGGTATTAAAGGCCAACTGCAAGTAACACCCTGCGAGGCTCTGTAGATGGATCTATTGAAATACCATTAAAAAAAGTGTTCAAACCTAAGAGTTGTGCTGCTTTTGAATTCTATCCCTCTACTCCTTTTCCTCACCTACTGCTTCTCCAGCCCTTCCCTCCGTCCCTCTTATCACTCAGCCCCTCCTCTCCCCTTAGTCCCCATCACACTGTCACTCCTGAATTGTGACACTGGCACTCTCCCGTTACCTGCTACGTGACTGTTCTCTCCATAGTGGTCCTGCTAATGTGAGTCAAAGTGTGTCATTTCTCCACCTAAAACACTCCAGTGGCTCCACCTTGGTCTTGTGAAGCTTCTAGAATGTCAGGCACGTGAGCATATGAGGGGATACCTGGTTCATTGTAGGGACTAAATTAATTTTTGTTGACTGAATGAATGAAATATGAGTATATTAAATTGCATCACAGATAATTATAAAATGCAAAACACTGAAAAAGTTCAGATTTTATTTTATGTAACTAGTGTATATATCAATTCATCAGTTCATTCCATTAGTCTGTTGAGCCTGTGTATGAATTTTATAAGACTGTGTAAAAAATTATCACAAACATTGGCTTTAAACAACACCCATTTATTGTATTTATTTATTTGTTTTTATTTATTGTATTCATTTATTTGTTTTTAGAGACAGAGTCTCTAAAAACTGTCATCCAGCGTGAAGTGCAGTCACATGATCATGGCTCACTGCAGCCTCAAACTCCTGGGCTCAAGGAATCCTCCTGCCTCAGTCTTCAGAGTAGACAGGACTGCAGACAAGTGCCACCACACCCAGCTAATTAAAAAAAAAAGTGTAGAGACGAGTGTCTCACTGTATTACCTGGGCTGGTCTCACACTCCTGGCTGCAAGTGATCCTCCTGTGTCAGCTCCTCAAATGTTAGGATTACAGGAGTGCACCACCACGCCTGGCCAAAAAACACCCATTTATCTGTTTATAGTACCTTAGTCAGAAATCTGGGCATGATGTAGATGGAATCTCTGTTCCAGGCTTCCCAAATCTGAGTCTTCATTTTGAATCCTCCTTTAGGCTTATACAGAGGTGGCAGAATGTGCTTTCTTGCAGTTTTAAGACTGAGGTCCCTGTTCCTTGCTGGCTGTCAATGTAGAGAACAGGGAGGGCTGTACTCAATTCCTGGTGCCCACCAGTGTTGTTTCCTACACAGCCCCTTCATTTTCAAAGCCCACAGTGGAGGAAACCCCTCATGCTGAATCCCTCTCACACTGTGAATCTCTATGCTCAGGAAGAACCCAGTCCTTTCAAGGACTCTCCTGATTAGGACAGTCCAAGCAGCATAAACCCAGCCTGAAGTCAACTAATTGAGCCCCTTTATTATGTCTGCTAAATTCCTTCACAGCAGCACCTACATTAGAGTTGGTTGAATAACTGGGGGAAGGTGAATGACCAGGAGGTGGTTGTTGGGGCCATCATAGAATCACTCTAGCAAGGGATGAATCTTCCTTTTGTGTTTAATTGGGACACAGTTGGAAATTGAAGTTCAAGTAAAGTGATCATTGTGAACGATAATAAAATACATCCTCTTCAGCCATGGAACTTCTCCTTTCCTTTTAAAACTAAGTTACATGTTTAATGTCTTATAATTAAGTTAGGCAGGGGTGGTGGCTCACGCCTGCCATCCTAGCACTATGGAAGGCAGAGGAAGGCAGACTTGTTGACTCCAGAAGTTCAAGATCAGCCTGGGCAACATGGTGAAACTCTCATCTCTACAAAAAAACTAGAAAATTAGCCTGGCATGGTGGTTCATGACTATAGTCCCAGCTACTCAGGAGGCTAAGGTCAGAGGATCCCTTGAGCCCAGGAGGTCGACACTGCAGTGCATGGTGATCATGCCACTGCACTCCAGCCTGGGTGACAGAGTGAGACCCTGTCTCAAAAATAATAATAATGATGATGATAAATTTAGAGCAAATGCAAATTAACATGTAATAATGCATCCTGTCTTGTGAAAATGTATTAGTTATTTACTATGCATAACAAATTATGTAAAACTTAGCAGCTCAGAACAACAAATATTCCTCATCTCCCACAGTTTCCAATGATCAGAAATCCAGGAGAGGTTTCCCTGAGTGCTTCTGGCTCAGGGCCTCTCACAAGGTTGCAGTCCAGTTGTCAGCCTAGGCCTGCATCATCTGAGGACTTCACTGAGCAAGGCCATAGAGGAGTCCTCGAGCTACAATTGGCCATCAGAGGAGTCCCCTGTCTCCTAGGAATGTCCTGCCTTAGTGTCACTGGTATGACCCATCAGTCGTTGGGAACAGCCCATGGGAAGCAGGGCCTCAGCACCAATGTACTGAGGATGTCAGAACACAAGAGCAGGGCCTTGGGAGATTGCCCACAAGTGTGACTCAAACCTTCTGCCCTGACGGGTCTGGGCCCTTGGAAATCAAATCCTCTCAGGCTGAATTGCTGGATGATTCTGCTCACACTTACAATGGGGCAAGGGAAACCAGAAGGCTCCCAGGTGGATCTCTGGTTTCCACACACACTTCTACCCTTGTGTGAAACAGCCATGCCTTCTCCTGGGGATGAGGATCTATTTATTACCTGGGCCTGGAGAGGAGGAGAATCTTCTTCTCACCAAGTGGTATCTGGGCACACACTGTCCAAACTTCTCTGGTGACTAAAGTAATGTGTAGTTCAGTGGGCTGTCTTTTGTCTCCTTTTAGGGGTACACTCCTTTGGAAACCAGAACCTCGTATCCTGCACAGCCCAGTGTTGGGAGATAAAATATGCGAAATACCCCATTGAGTGAATCTAAGAGATTGGACATGGAGCCAAACCTGCTTCCGCCTTTTGATTTCTGGACACACATGTTCTTCCTATTGAGAACACAGAACTCTAGAGACGTCTCTGATTCAAACAATGCACTGTGTCCTGAAAGATGGCACCCACCCCTCAGAGTGCTTCCTCCAGGCTGGCACTGAGTTGTGCCTGTAGAAGACCTGTCCAGCCTTCCTTGTGGCTGGCAGCTCCTGGGTAGTGCAGATGGTGATAGGATTAGTGGAACCCACAGCCGTGGAAACACTGAAACTTTCCCTGCAAAGTGGGTCCTTCAGGCAGATAATGGGCTAGGAGCACTGCCTAGCCTGCAGACCAGGAATGTCAACAGCACCCAGAGAGTGGTGCTGGCTGTGTCTGAGAGCAGGACAGGAAAACCCACCCATAGAATCGGTACCTAACCCTGTGAAGATGAAACTCTGGCCCTTCCAGGTTGGAAGTAGCTAAATGTAGTCAACTTGTTACTTAGTGGGTAGTCATGTAAAGAAATAGTGCCCCACTAGGGCACATCATGGGCCTCAATTGCTGATGAGTTGGACATTCAGAGGTGGCAGCAGCTGGATCTGCCTTGGTGTGGGGAAGTCAGTGCTGCTGGCCCCTTACGGAGCCTCATGCCTGCCACTGTGGTTGCTCCATTCATGCACTCATCCTACCAGGCCTGGGCTGACCCATGGTGAAAGCTGGCTAACTGCCATTTGTCTGTTTGGTAGTTCAGTGCCACTTCAGACTTGGGTGTTTTCTGTGGGTGTCAGCAAGGGATTCAAGCTCAACCCAGGTGGACTGTTTTCACCTGATGATGAATGCTGTTGGGCCTGTACCATCTATGACTTTGTGGGTCACACAGGCACTTGGAACCCCGTAGTTGCTTGGTATCCCGTGGTCAAACATTCTATTGAATCAGGACAAGGAACACTAAAAGTTGCTTCTAACAGGGGGCATGTGTCTCTGCTGTGGATGACATGATCTTACTCCAGAATCCCAGGCCCTCCACTGTGACTCTCCCACTGGTGCTTGGTTCAGCTCCATCCTGTGTCTTTCCCCACCACTGGCACCACCAGCCCCAGGGGTCTGAGGGATGGTGGCTGCTTGTACCATGGCCTGGATCTGCTGCAGGGTCCTTTCCTGTGTAGGCCCCACTTGAAGCTGGCATCCTCCTATGTCACCTAGACTGTGGGCCAAAGCAAAATGTCTAGATGTGGAATGTGGTGTTGTTATAATTCAAAGAGGCTCACCAAGCAGTGTGCTTCCTTGCTTCTGGTGAGGATGCAAGATGCAACAGTTTTTCTTTTACCTTGGAGGGGACACACCTGCATTCCCCTAAACACTTGGCACTTGTTCACCCATAAAACTTCACTTCAGTGCCCACCTTTGAAGCTGTATAAGGTTTATCTTCACCTTGTGGGGTGCGTGTGTTTTGCAAAGGACTACAGTGCACTTTCTTCCTGCTGCTCATCTACTCCAGTCAACATGAAGTTGTCAATGAAATGTGCTGATTTAATATCCTAAAGGATATGCAGTATGTCCAGTACAGTCTTAAGCCTATACTATAGAGGGCACAGGTGTTACAATAGCCCTGAGGCAAACAATAAATAAATGTGTCGTTGATTCCACATGAATGTGAATCACTCCATATCCTCTTCCTTCCTTCCTTCCTTCCTTCCTTTCTTTTTTGACAAAGTCTTGCTCTTGTCCCCTAGGCTGGAGTGCAATGGCGTGATCTCGGCTCACTGCAACCTCTGCCTTCTGTGTTCAAGTGATTCTCCTGCCTTGGCCCCCCGAGTAGCTGGGATTACAGGCACCTGACATGATGCCTGGCTAATTTTTGTATTTTTAATAGAGACGGGGTTTTGCCATGTTGGCCAGGATGGTCTAGAACTCCTGACCTCAGGTAATCCACCGGCCTCGGCCTCCCAAAGCTGGGATTACAGGCATGAGCTACTGCGCCCAGCCCATATCCACTTTCTAATTGGAATGGAAAGGAATGCACTCACCAAATCCACAGCGGCACACTGTGTGCCCGGGGCTTTATTAACCTGCTCTACCAGTGATAACCAGACAACATAAAAGCTGCAATTATAACTCCTACTTGGCCAGACCTGGAGTAATCTCATTCATTCTTTAGGCCTTACCAGTTTCCCTCAGGGACAGGTTGCTGGATTACATAGAGACAATAGACAGCCCCAACACCACCCCACATCCTTCAGCTCTCTAATGTTGGTGCGACCCCATAATACTTTCAGTGTCTTCCACAAGACCCACCCTGGGACACACTATGGTTTTTGATTTGGCCAGGATGTGGGCAGTGTCAGAGGTTTCCGTTTGGCTTTCAGCACAATGAGAGTCCTTACTCCACAGACTAGGGACCCAGTGTGGGGGTGACTCCACTTAGCAGTGCAGCAGTGTCAATCATGCACTCAGGGAATTGAAAGATATCCAGCGTTGGGTCTGTTGGCCCAGTGGTCCCATTGTGGGCCATAATTTGTCCAGGTTTACTCCCTGGCCTCCATAAGCCCCACTGTGATGGGAGACATGAGTGCTGTGGGCATCTGGGCATCAATGTCAGCTCACACCCAGTGTCAATAATCCCTCCAGTTCTGCGTGTTTCCTTTCCCCAGTGTACAACCACCCAAGTAAATGTCTATAGGTTCCTTTGCCAAATGATTGAGGGAATTGTGCCAGCATATACTTCCACAGGGTTGCAGGGTCTTCCTCCTAGGGATATGGACTCCTCCTCTGTCACTGAGATCTGAATCTGAATCTTGGCTGAGGTCTAGGCATTGAGGATGGGATCATGACTTTGTATTGGGTCAAACACCTTCACCCTCCTGCTCCTCAATTCTTTCATTCCTATCATAGATATCAAGCAGCGCCCTTGTTGGCTGCCTGTCCTAACCCTGGGACACCACCCTCTATTAACCTTCCCCACATTCCCTGCAACTTGAGTCCTCCTGGCTGCTACTCTGAAGTTGCCATAGTAACCATGCCCTCTGCTTTTTCAGGTCACTGCCACCACTTCTTCTCTGTCTCTTCAGGGCCACACTCTCCCCAGGGATATGGATAAATGCAACTCTGGGACCATCTTTATTACCATCACCCGCAGCCTGCAGAGGACAACACCCCTATACTTAGTGATGCAGGTCCCTTTCACCATCATGTTCCTGAGGCTCTGGTGGAAGGTTGTGTCCTCTGGGCCCTCTTGTGGAGCATGGCCCTGGTGGGCCTTCACCATGCCCACTTCCCTCAGCCTCGTTATTCCTTCCTTTACATGTACCAGGGCAACTAAGACATGTCTACCTTGTTGAGAGTTGGGCATCTTTTTTTCCAATCTATATGGATTCACCCCAGCGGTGGGTTTAGCTCCACTTATCAAAGTCCTGGGGTGTTTGACAAACCCATGCCTTGAGAAAGTGCCTCCAAGCCAAAGGATTTTTATTCATCCAGCCTGAAATTCTGGTTTCTTGATCAAACGCCCTCAAATTCCAATCCCAGAAGTGCTCCTTGGGCTCCTGTGGGGAAATGGCGGCTAATTCCTGCAAAGCTGCTGAGTAGGATTCCCGCAGAATCACGGGGGTGAGGCTTTTGCAGCATCTTCCAGCGTAGGAAGTGGGAATCATTATTAGATAATGGTGAGCCTCCTCTGCATTCCCAGAGGGTCCTGGAGGGCACCCATCGGATATCCTGGTTCCAGTTTCCAGAATCTCAGGTTTCCCCACCAGGACCCTGACTTTCCTGTAACAGGCCTGCTTTGGCTGAGTGTCAGACATGTCTGGAGCACTGTGGCCCTCGTAATGATGTCTTCAGCTGCCATTCCACGCTATCTGCCCTTTCGCTACAGGAGATAAAGGCCTCTCCATGAGACACTGCAGAGGCTGTCACCTGTAGCCAGTGACAGCTGTTAACAACCCGCAGATTCTCATGATCCTTTTATAGGGTATCAACGCAGCCAAGCAGTAACCACCCAACTCCTCTGTCTTTGTAGGTTTCCCCCAACCTCATCATTATTGTGTAGGGCATTCTATCACCTCACCTGCCATAGCTTCCCCTAACCAGGGCATCTTCTCAGCTCAGCACTGAGGAGACCACAGCACCTCAGCTGCACCTTATGCCATGGACTTTCTGTGTCCCCCACCAACCCGGGTGGCATCCTCTTGGCCTGCCAGGCAGTGGGCAAGATTATTTCAAATTCCCATTTTTGCCTGTTTTCATGGGTCACCCTTCATACCGCTTGGGTTAGTTAGGGTCCCCTGAGGAGCAGAGCCCAATACGGTAGTAAATGTGCAAGGATTTATTCAGGGAAATACTTGTGAGAGAAATTCAGGAGAGAGACAGAAAACACTGGGAGAGCCATCAGACCACACTGCAACTCTGAGCCCCAGTGAAGGAGAGAGGGCAGGAAGTTCAGCTGGAAGCATCCTAGACCCTGTGCAGGCTAAGGGAAATTTAGTAAAGGAGGCAGGGAGCCCTGGGGCTGCAGTCAGCCTTCAGAGGAGAAATATTCCTGCCTTAGTTTCTGCCCTGCTTTCCTCAATCATTGGCTGGAAAAGATCAGGGGGCAGGTGTGGGATCAGAGCAAATGTGGCAATAGATTTCAAGCTTCAAGAGCTGGGGTCATCATCGATTCTGCTTCCTGTAGCTGAGGGGCTGGGATGTGCATTCTCATGACTGCCACAATGATCCAGTGGGGAGAGAGGGAAAAAGTTGATGATAAAGATAAAAAAAGATACTAGTTGATGAACTGACAACTTTAAGTAGATGAGAAGGGATGATGTTTGGGGCACCAGAAGAGGGACTGGCTCTGACTGGGAGCAGAATTGTTAACCCCCAGCAATCCCTCCCGTGGTAAAATGCCTGACATGTGGTGCAGCTGCAAATGCATGAGCAGACAGTGGTGGAATCGGGGAAGTTGTCTTCTAATGTGTTCAGTTTTCTCAGTGAGGTAGGAGGCAAGGTTGTCAGCTGAGGTAAGAATGGGGAAGAAGGGTTGGATGTGTGAGCACAGAGAGAAGGTGTCTAGGAGTCACCCAGGCCAAGAGGAGGCTGAGGGTGAACCACGTAGGGAGAGGGTGATTGCTGGCCACGTCAATGGTAGGGGCTCCCCATGAGGTTTGGAATCTTAAAGAGACCAGTCAGCATGTTGTGTGCTGCTGTCCAGCCTCCTGCAGCTCATGGGGCAGGTGCAGCATAGACAGAGGTGGAACCCACCAGCTGTGTAGTTTTGCCAGGTGAGTATGACAATGCAAGGGAGAGGCAAGGGAGGGATTGAAATTATTTACTGTAGAATTCAAAATGGGAGAAGAGGGAGGAGAGGACACCAAGGGTGAGTGACAGGGAGTAGATGGCAGGATCACTCAATTGGGAATCCCAGTGGGCTGGAAGGATTGTTGGAATTGATGTACCACAGGGTGGACTCCAAGCCTGGAATGCAGGCACATAGGAAATGAGTGGTTCATTGATATTACATCACAGCATATGATAAAATGATAGTGTCTGTGTCATCAGAGCCTGTGGCCACCTTGCAAGGGGATGAGTGGAAAGATGGCCAGAGAGTGGGAAGTGTGAGATTGAGAGTATGGAAGGGCTGGGGTTCTTGGCCGTGATGAGGCCTAGGGGATGACAAGGGCATGAGATTCAGGCAGAGAGAGGAGAAGGTCATGGAGGAGAGGAGTTACAGGATCTGAGAGTCCAGGGAGCAAGGGCATCTTCTCTGCTGTATAGGTGTCTGTTGCTGCCATAAAAATTACCACAAACCAAGTGGCTTTAAACAGCACCTAATTATCATGTCACAGTCATGTGGGTTGCAAGTCCACACAGTCTCATGGGGCTAAGATCAATGTACGGGAAGGCCTGCATTCCTTCCTGGAGACTGGGGAAGAATCCACTTCCAAGCTCATTCAAGTTCTTGTCTGAATTCACTTCCTTGCAGATAGAACAGAGATTTCCACTTCCTTGTTAAGAGCCACCCTTAGCTCCTAGAGTTTTCTCTCAGGTACTCACACATGGCGCCTAAGGCACATCCAGTCCTCCTGCTTGGAACGTCTGACCTCCTCTCTCCAGCTTCTCCTCTGTTTCCTCTTCTGCAGAATCTGACTCCAGCCAGGGCAGTTTCTCTGCTTTTAATGGCTCATGTGATTTGATTGGGCCCACGCAGATAGTCCAGGATACTCTCCCTATTTTAAGGTCCTTAATCTTCATTACATGATTAATGTCCCTTTTGCCATGCAATGCAACCTATTCACATGTTCCAACGATTAAGCCTGGACATCTTTGGGGACCATTACTCAGCCCACCACATCTGCGTATGTTGAAGTCACCAAGAGTCAAGGAGACGCACTGCTGGAGAGGGTGACAGTGAACCAGGAGCTACAAGGGTCAGGATTAAGAGGAATGGCTTGGGGCACAAAGGGAATGGCTACAACATGGGGAATGGGGCCCTAATCTGCTGACAGCTTAGGGGTTTAGGGAGGAGGGAGGGAGAAAGGTGTGAGAACCACAGTGAGGAGCAAGGACCCCACCTCACCTCTGAACCCAGGGGTACAAGTCCCTGGGAAAACTCCCCCATGTGGGAGGACTTTGGAGGGGGTCGTGTCCTCAGGGAGACCAGGTTGCTGCTGTAGCTGTGAGGTGCAGGAACATCCTGAGAGAGGGTGTGGAGGTTTTGCTAATCTTTTTGCTGGGGGAGGGTCTTGCCTCAGTGTTGACTATTGGCTGATCAGGAGGGTGGTTGCTAAAGGCTGCTGTGGCAACTTCTTTAGATATGACAATAAAGTTTGTGGCATGGATTGTAAATCGGGAATCAGTACTTAAGTAAGGTCAATATGAGTTTTCAAGTCAGGTGGACCTGAATATGAACCCTCCAGGCCCTTCCACCAGCTAGCTATAGAGCCCTGGGCACATCTGGCCCACAGTTGGCCCTGACAGACACTTGCCCAGTGAGTGAGTGCTGAATGAGCCCATACGAGTCAGTTTCCTCATCTGCAAACTAGTGATGTAATTCCTGCCTTGCCAATTCAGAAGAATAAGTGAGAAGAAACCCAGTGCCAAGAAAAACAGACACAAGACCTGTGGAAGGCTGGGCACCAGTGCTCTAAAGCAAGCTCTGCCTAAACTGGCAGGATCATTTTTCACATCAGAAACAGGAATTGGTCTGGATTCTGTCTGGGACCAGGCTGAGAGGGAGGTGGAGGCAGCAGAGCAGGGCAGGGGTGGGGCCTATGCAGCACCAGGTGCTGAAGCAAAGCCAAGGCCTGGAGGGAGCGAACTCTTGGTGTCTTCTAGGCAACTCAGACTGCTCCCTGCCTCAGCTACCATGGTCCTTTCTCTTCCAGGATCTCTCGGTGCTGTTGTCTTCACCTCCTCCTGCCCTCCTGGTCCCTAGCTCTCCAGGACTCACAAAGATGCTGCTCTGAAAACCCCAAGGCAAGCGTGGAAGAGTAGAACAGCTCCAGGGACAGTGGGAAGATGAGGTCACCCCAGCATGTTGACGGACACCAAGGGTGGGGGTGGAGGACGTGAAGGGGATCAGCACAGGAGTCAGGGGAAATCCTCTAAATCCCACCCTGCACCACCCTCACCCCTGCAGCTCCTTGCCTAGTTCCAGCTCTGAGCTCTCAGCTCCTTCCCAACCACACCCCAGCTCAGACCTCAGGGCTCTCTCTCCCCACCCCCTCCAGAGCAGCACAGTCCACAGAGCCCTTGAACAGAAATTCCCCCTCATCTAACAGTTAATTATTTCTTAGCGGAGAGGGACAGCCGGTCCTCTCTTTCCAGTGACCCCATATCCTTGTTCAAGGTATCCAGTTATACTCCCTGAGCCAGGGATCTCTATTTGCCCCCCAGAGGCCTATGCCCAAGACAAGGGGCTCCCTGGGCTTCTCAGTACAGGAGGCCTTAAGCTAATGGGCTAGAAAAAGGGAAAGGGAGGTAGAATTCCTCATTTACAGCCAGACCCTGCAATACAGGTTCCAAGGGCCTCAGCCCCCTGCCCTGGCTGATGCTCCCTCCACCACTCCCCCTCACCAGGGCCATGAGCCCCCAACACAGCTGAGCTGGCCCAAGCTGAGGAGTTGCTGGAGCTGGACCAGGCCCTGCTGGAAGGGCAGGAGGGGGTCAGGGGCCCAGGCCCTGGTGCTCAAGGTCTAGAATTTGAAGGAATAGATGAGGAGGCACCAAGAAAGCCTGGGTGGAGACACTCAAGCTTCCCACCAGTGCCCACAGCACCCTCCATCCCTGGAAATACTGCGCACCATCCACCAGGAGCCCCAGGATCAGAAACATCCCAGCCTCTCTCAGGCCAGATAAAGCAGAAGAGACCCCAACAAAGGGCCGGAAATAGGCAGGTAGTTGGGGAGCCAGGGCTCTGCAGTCCGTCCCCCTTTGACCTCACAGCAGGGCATCCAGGCCTTACAGGAATTTACCCTGGACCATGCCCTAAAATAATCTTACCCCAAATACAATAAAGGGAGAGAGCACCCACACATAATGCAGATGCACTTGTGTTTCATGTTTAGTTACATTAAAAATTCTGACGATCAGGAATGATGGTTCGGGAGTGGTGCTGATGCAGAAGAGGAAAGCCAGGGGGTGGTGGAGGCTGTCAGGTGTGGGGGCAGCAGGGTCTCCTTCACCCACACCCTGCTGTCCTCTCCTGAAGGGCAGATGGTCACATTCCAGAATGAGCGAGTCTCCTACTGCATCTGTTCAACTGAGAAGGAGACATGGCACAGTGAGAATAAGGCATGAAAGGACAAAGCAAGGCAGGAACACACAGCACACATGCAGATGCTGGTGTACTGCCTGGGTTCAGAGGATGGACTTGGGCGTGGTGGAAGAGATGTAATATGAGAAAAGGCACAGACCCCACATAGAGGGCAGCAAAACGTCCCAACACAGCATCAACGGCCAGGGGGCATGAAGCAGTCAATTGTTCATTATGCGTTAAGTGCCCATGACCTACATGATGGGATTGAAGACACAGTAAGGAATAGGGAGGAACTAAGGGTTTCATGAAATCAGCACTCACTGTGGAGGAGACGTCTGTCTCAGCAGGTAGCTCCTAACACTGAACTTAAAGTGATGCTGCCCATCACTGAGGATCCTGGCACAATTCTCATCCGACACAAGCCCCGTTCCAAACCAGCCTGCTCTAGTCACCTGGAAGGAGACAGAGGTTAGGACTAGAAGACCCCAAAGAGGGAAGACAGCCAGAGGGAGGAATGAAGAAGTGAAGTGTGAAAAGATACAGAAAATAAGTGGGTGGGAGAGTGGGTGTCCCTCTGTGTATGGAGCTTACCTGATTCACGTAGGTCTCAGAATCTTCAGGCATGTCACAGGTAAAGGCAGTGTTCACCTGCTCCATGTCCATGCCTGGGCAAAATAGGGTTGGTAGCCAAAGAATTGGCCTTTAAAAATCTTTTGGGGTCATTCTCAGACAAGTACAGAAGAGCAAAAACTGTTAGTCACCTGAGGTGCATTCTCCTTCTCAGGTTCAGAAATGAACTACATGTAAAAGGAACCAAAGGCTGTAATTCTCATGGCACCCAGAAAACTGGACTAGGGACCTGGAGAGTCATGTGCCTGTCATTGCTCCACCACTCACGAGCTGTGTGACTTCAGGAGAAGCTCTCTACTCATAGGGCCTCTGATTCATCTGTGAATCATGGACAAATGCCTCCATTCTAGCAACCTTACTGAAATGCAGGGAGGACCAAGTGATCAATGCGGAGGAAAAAAGCAAAGTGATGACATTTACTCCTAGACAAGACTCTTTAGGAAAATGCACTTTAAAAGGAGGAGAAAACATAGTACCTGCCATCCCCTGCCAAAAAGCCTCTTTGGTTTAGTAATTATGATTGTTCATCATCTTTCTATAAAATTAGGGCAAAACTAGCTCACTCAATGTCTCAAATAAATTAAACACAGTTTGTGATTCTATGTCCACAACTTTTGCACTGTGTGAAACTGAAAAGAAATGGGAACACATCCATGTTTGTGTGGTGGCCAGGAGACCCACAAAGGCTTGGAAATGACCCTGTATCATCTATTTTCCATTGACTCACTCTATGTTTTGGAATCCCAGGTAATTCATATTCTTAAAAAGTCTCATGTTCATACATAGGACAGAGTAGAAAAGGTAATATTTCTGTTTTAATTTGCTAGGGCTACCATAACAAAGTACCACATGCTGGGTGAGTAAAATAATAAATATGTATTGTCTCACAGTTCTGGAGGCTACAGGTGCAGGTCAAGGTGCTGCAGGGTTGCTTTTTCCTGAGGCCTCTCTCCTTGGCTTGTAGATGGCCACTTCTGTCTTCTCAACATAGGACTCCAACATATGAATTTCGGTTGGGGAGGGACACAATTCGTCTCATAACAGCGTGGATCATCCTTGGTAGTGGATATTCTAAAAAATAAAAGAGAGTATATCCCTTTGGCTTGGTGCTTTCTCTTGGTTTTCTCAATTTTTGGTCTTGCAATAAGAACAAAAAAGAACAAGAACCAACGTTTAGTTTTTCCCAGAAGGTGAACCCTCCCTACATCTGGGTAACCCCAGACCCCAAGAAGAGGTGCTATGCAGTTCTCCAGAGTCTTACTTTCTCCAGGAATTCTGTTTCTGCCTTTCTAACTGGGGAGAAGATTCTCTCAGGAGAGCCACTTCTTCTGATGCTGTATGGGCTTCATTCTGCTTGAACTTACAAAGTGGATCTTAATAAAAAGGAAATATTTGCCAATTTTTATCATGGTCATATTTTTGTACTTTTTAAAATGTCCCATATTGTGTTGAGTTTATTTTAAAAATATTTTTTAAAGGTAATACATAACATTTTATATGTTTATGGGGCACATGTGATCATTTGATACATACACAGAATGTGGAATAATCAAGTCAGGGTGTTTAGGGAATCCATCACCTCAAGCATGTATCATTTCCTTGTGTTGGGAACATTTAAAATCCACTCTTCTAGCTGTTTTAAATATACATAATTGTTAGCTTTAGTTGGCCTGCTGTGCTATAGAACATTAGAACTTTTTTTTTTTATATAACTGTACATTTGTACCCATTAATCTACCTCTCTACATCTTCCCACCCCTACATTCTTCCCAACCTCTGGTAATTTTCATTCTACTCTCAACCTCCATGAGATTAACGTCTTTAGCTCACACATGTGAGTGACAACATGTGATATTTGTGTTTCCTTGCCTGGCTCATTTCACCTAACATGACCTCTGGTTCCATCCATGTTGCTGCAACTGACAGGATTTCACTCTTTTTTTATGGCTGAATTGCATTCCATTGTGTATATACTACAGTTACTTTATTCATTCACCCATTGATAAATTCACCATTGATTTCACATCTTTGCTATTGTGAATAGTGCTTCAATAAACATGGGTGTGCAGGTACTCTTTTGATATATTGACTTCATTTCCTTTGGATAAATACTCAGAAGTAGAATTGTTGCATCAGATAGTAGTTCTATTAATAGTTTCAGTTTTTTTGAGAGATCACTCTACTGTTTCCCATAATGGCTGCACTAATTTACATGACCACCAACAGTGTATAACATTCCCCTTTCTCCACATGCTCACCAACAGCTATTATTTTTTATTTTTTAATAATAGCCATCTTAACTAGGGTTAGGGTAAGATATATCTCATTGTAGTTTGATTTTCATTTTCCTGGTATTTAGTGATGTTGGGTGTTTTTCACACACCTGCTGGCC
>NT_167244.2:957964-964446 GCF_000001405.40 Homo sapiens | reverse complement strand
GGCCAACATGAAGAAACCCTGTCTCTACTAAAAATACAAAATTAGCCGGGAGTGGTGGCGCATGCCTGTAATCCCAGCTACTCAGGAAGCTGAGGCAGAAGAATCATTTGAACCTGGGAGGCGGAGGTTGCAGCGAGCTAATATCGCGCCATTGCACTCCAGCCTGGGCAACAAGGGCAAAACTCTGTCTCAAAAAAAAAAAAAAAAAAAAAAAATATATATATATATATATATATATATATATGTAAATAAGCTATTAATCCATACATCAATTAATCTTAAATGCGTTTTACTAGGTGAAAAAAATGTCAGACACAAAAGGCTTCATTTTATCTGACTCAATTCATATACCATTCTGGAAAAAGCAGATCTATGGGGACAGAAAACAGGTTAATGGTTATCGAAGGTTGGAGGGAGAAGGGATAAAGAACATTCAAAGGGAAATTTTTAGGATGAAGGAACTGTTGTAGATGGTACTAGGGTAGTGGATATATGATTCTATACATTTGTCAAAATCCAGGCTGGGTGTGGTTGCTCATGCCTGTAATCCCAGCACTTTGGGAGGCCGAGGCGGGTGGATCACCTGAGGTCAGGGGTTCAAGACCAGCCTGGCCAACATGGTGAAACCCCGCCTCTACCAAAAATACAAAAATTAGCCGGGCGTGTTGATGGGCGCCTGTAATCCCAGCTACTCGGGAGGTTGAGGCAGGAGATGGAGGTTGCAGTGAGCCCAGATAGCACCATTGCACTCCAGCCTGGGCCACAAGAGTGAGACTTCATCTCAAAAAAAAAAAAAAAAAAAAAAAAGTCATTGTTGTAAAAAGGGCACAGGCTTTGCTACAGATTTTTCTACCAGTGAAAAGATGTATACACTTGCCTGGCCTCATCATTCAGACCAATTCATAAAATAACAAATGCATGGAAAAAAAAACTTAAAAACACAATCATCATGTGACTGACTTCCAAATTAGATTCTCCTTCAAATCAGAGAGTATTGCTTGTTAATAGTGTTTATAAATTTTAATTCCTGATTGCTGAGACAATATGTACATAAAATATTTAGCCAAAGAGTTCAAAATAAAATTACCCAAATTACCTATTTGTTATTTTATACATAGTAATTATTTTTTAAAAATCGTTTGGCTGGGTGCGGTGGTTCATGCCTGTAATCCCAGCATTTTGGGAGGCCAAGGCGGGCGGATCATGAGGTCGGGAGTTCGAGACCAGCCTGACCAACATGGTGAAACCCTGTTTCTACTAAAACAACAAAAATTAGCCGAGCATGGTGTCGCGCGCCTGTAATCCCACCTACTTGGGAGGCTGAGGCAGGAGAATCGCTTGAACCCAGGAGGCAGAGGTTGCGGTGAGCCGAGATCACACCATTGCACTCCAGCCTGGGCAACAAGAGCAAAACTCCATCTCAAAAAAAATTTTTTAAAAAGCATAAATTAAAAAAAAAAATAAAACTTTTAAGATGTTAAGCCCCTGAAGCTCCAACTACAAAGTAGGGTAAAAGGCTGCCTAAAGCAGTGAAGATCAAGGAGTGACCTTGGAGGCAGCAGAGGGAGACTGTATTAGTCCATTTGCGTTGTTGTAAAGGAATACCTGGGTTTAAGTAATTTATAAAGAAAAGAGATTTATTTGGCTCACAGTTCTGCAGGCTGTACAATCATGGGGCCAGCTCCACTAGGATTCTGGTGAAGTCTCAGGAAGCTTTTACTTGTGGCAGAAGGCAAAGGAAGAGTAGGTGTGTCATATGGAGAGAGAAGGAGCAAGAGAGCTGCTAGGCTCTTTTAAATAATCAGCTCTCGTGTGAACGAATAGAGTGAAAGCTCACTCATTACCATGGGCAGAGTACTAAGCCACTCATGAGAGAACCGCTCCCATGACCCAAACGCCTCCCACTAGGCCCCAGCTCCAACACTGGAGATCTTTCAACATGAGATTTGGAGGGGACAAACACCCAAACCTTATCAGAGATGATCCCAGCCACAGGTCTCAGAGAACCAGCAGAGGGCACTCCTCCAGGGCCCAGCCTGAGTGTGGAAATAGCTGTCAGAATCACGTCAGAATGTTTCAGAACTCATGGGGAAAAGCTGAGACAGAAAAAAAGAAGAAAGTAAGAAGCTGGCAGAAATCAGCTAGGAACCTTGAGAGACTTGGTATTTCATTGAAAGGTAAGATAGGAGTGTTTTGACTCCCGTCGTCCCTAAGGAAGACCACCAGTATCTGAACTGTCGGAGAGCTCCTCTGCCCTCACAAAGCCAAACACTGATGTGCATGGCGATTTGGGAACTTCTGGAGGGCATCACACCAGACAACCAACTTGCGCTGGGTCACCTGTCCCTCCTCCAGACTCGGGCAGTGTTGGCAGGGTGCCATATTAGGAGTGTAGCCATCAGGGGACTGTGTCCTTCCCAGGGAACCCCAACCTTTGTATATTCACATCACAGAAGCTCCTGCAGCCATGCCCCCAGTGCCCACTTGGATTGTGGCAGCCACACAGGGCTGGCTGGACCCAGTGGAGCTGCAGGGTTCCCAGTGGTCTAGCCATCAGGGATTGCTGCTCCTAAGGAAAGGGAGACTGCAGTACACAAAAAAAGTACCAGTTGGGACAAAGGAGGCCAGGCCATGTACTCATCTGTGTCCAAGAGCTCCTTGTTTGTGGGCTGAGTGACTGCACCACTTCCAGCAGAGTCGTGGACACTGTGTTCAGCTCTGCGCTGAAGGAGTGTAGTTCCATCCCAGCAGCCAAGCAGCCCCAGTGCTTAGAATCAGGCATGGAAAGGGGAAATTCTCCTGCCCTTCCCCCATCCACCACTGCTTCAAACACAGCATGGCCACTCCCATGGGAAATTGGCACGTGTGCCAGAGAAGAGCCTTTCTAGGGCTATCAGGGGTGACTGTGTTTCCACTGGCAGTGTGGCCATTTGGGCCAGGCTTGTGTGAAAGACAGGGCCCTTTCCCCTCTCTACAGGGAGTGCTAGCATTCCTGCAGTGGAGAGCAGGAAAGCTGAAAAGCTATGTGCAGGCCAGGCGCGGTGGCTCACGCCTGTAATCCCAGCACTTTGGGAGGCCGAGGTGGGCGGATCATCTGAGGTCAGGAGTTCAAGACCAGCCTGACCAACATGGAGAAACCCTGTCTCTACTAAAACTACAAAAACAATTAGCCAGGCGTGGTGGCGCATGCCTGTAATCCCAGGTACTCAAGAGGCTGAGGCAGGAGAATTGCTTGAACCTGGGAGGTGGAGGTTGCGGTGAGCTGAGATCACGCCATTGCACTCCAGCCTGGGCAACAAGAGCAAAACTCCATCTCAAAAAAAAAAAAGAAAAAGAAAAGCTATGTGTTTGGGGTTGAGGGAGGATGCTCTGCACCAAAGACATTTAAATGGTGAGCTGAGGAGAAGACATCTTTAATGAGTCTCAACTACATTGCAGTTGGAGATAGAGAGTAGTGTCTGGTCAATTTGAGTTTCCCTGATGCCAGGACTAGGGAATGACAGGGAAATGGATGGCATTCCTGCCTGGCCAGGTCATGAAGCTGGGGCAGCCCTCTCCTCATCTGTGGAGACCTAGGCACGTTTCACCAGAAGTTTCCCATGCCACCACTCCTGCCTGAAAGCTGCTGCCTGTGCTCACCATTGTGGGGCAGGCTTGGGGATCCAGCTCTACTCAGCTATGTCCCCCTCTCTGGTGCTGAGCAGGGAGCCCAGGCTGCTGTACATTCCACTTACCAGCACATTTCCTGAGGCAACAGAGAACTTTTCTAGGTATACAATGATGAAGCATATACTCACGTGCTTCTGCCACATAGGCTTTTAGGCATAAGCCCACCTACTGTTCTGGAGGCTGAACCACGCACCTCAATACAAATCAGTTGACAAAAGGGCACATGAGTGGAAATAAACTTCTCATCTCTTCCAAAAGAGGAAATGAGATAAACTTCTTAAACCTCTGCCATCCTGGCCCTGCAGGAGGCTGTGAGCCTGTTCACACTCCCAGTACATCACCACCACAACTGGCATTTGAGAAAGCCACCATACAAAGGCTATCTATAACCAGGGGACAACTACAGAGTCTTTGCCACTGAAAGCATTCACAACCAAATGCAAAGGACCTTAAACAACATACATTATAGTCACATTGTAAAGGGAAAAAAAAATCCTGCCCAAATGAAATAAATTCAAAAATAAGAAGAGAAAGTTTCTACAGATGAGAAGGAACCAAAGAAATGATTCTGGAACTCTCTATGTTTTCTATTTTTTAAGTAAGTCCTTTGTTTCTCTGTTGAAAACAGTAGAATGTTTTGAAAACATACTCTGAAAAAATAGAGTGTTATGACATCCCCAAAACATTACACTAACTTTCTAGCAATAGATCCTAACAAAAATAAAATCTTTGAAATACCAAATAAATAATTCAAAATAATGATTATAAAGAAGCTCAATGAAATCCAAGAGAAAGTTGAAAACAACACAAAGAAATGTAAAAAATCAATTCAGCATATGAATAAAAAATTTACCAAGAGAAAAATATTTTTAAAAAAGTAAACCACCTGGGCTGGGCGCGGTGGCTCACGCCTGTAATCCCAGCATTTTGGGAGGCTGAGGCGGGCAGATCACGAGGCCAGGAGATCTAGACCATCCTGGCTAACACAGTGAAACCTCGTCTCTACTCAAAATACAAAAAATTAGCCAGGCCTGGTTGCAGGCGCCTGTAGTCCCAGCTACTCAGGAGGCTGAGGCAGGAGAATGGTCTGAACCCGGGAGGCGGAGCTTGCAGTGAGCCGAGATTGCGCCACTGCACTCCAGCCTGGGCGACAGAGCGCGACTCCTTCTCAAAAGAAAAAAAAAAAAAAAAAAATTAAACCACCTGGAAATAAAAAATTCATCAAAGTAGTTCCAAATGCAGCTGAAAGCTTTAACAATAGACTAGACCAAGCAGAAGAAAGAATTTCAGAGCTTGAAGACAGGTCTTTCAAATTAACCCAGTCAGACAAAAAGAAAGAAAAGAGAATTAAAATATGAACAAAGCCTTCAGGAAGTATGGGGTTATGTAAAACATCTGAACCCATGAATCATAGGTATTCCTAAGGGAGAATGAAGGGTAAAAAGTGTGGAAAATCTACTTGAGGAAATAATTGAGGAAAACTTCCCTAACCCTGGCTAGAGATTTAAAATCCAGATAGAAGATACTTAGAGAACTCCTGGAAAATACATTGCAAGATGGACTTCACCAAGACAAATAGTCATCAGACAATCTAAACTCAATGTAAAGGAAAAAAAATCTTAAAATGAGCAAGAGAAGAGAAAAAGTGTCCTAAAAACCTATATAGGAAATTCCATCAGTCTAACAGTGGATTTTTCAGGCCGGGCACGGTGGGTCACGCCTGTAATCCCAGTACTTTGGGAGGCTAAGGTGGGTGGATCACGAGGTCAGGAGATCGATACTGTCCTGGGTAACACAGTGAAACCCCGTCTCTACTAAAAATACAAAAAATTAGCCGGGCGTGGTTGCAGGCGCCTGTAGTCCCAGCTACTCGCGAAGCTGAGGCAGGAAGGAGAATGGCGAGAACCCGGGAGGCGGAGCTTGCAGTGAGCCGAGATCGCGCCACTGCACGCCAGCCTGGACCACGGAGCGAGACTCCGTCTCAAAAAAAAAAAAAAAAAAAAAAAAAAAAAAAAAAAGCACTGTGAAAATCCCTATCCTGTTTGTTCCGATCTAATTACTGGGACATGCAGCCCCTAGTCACATAACCCCTGCTTGCTCAATCGATCACGGCCCTCTCAAGCGCACCCCCTTAGAGTTGTGATCCCTTAAAAGGGACAGAAATTGCTCACTGGGGGAGCTCGGCTCCTGAGACAGGAGTCTTGCCGATGCCCCCGGCCGAATAAACCCATTCCTTCTTTAACTCGGTGTCTGAGGAGTTTTGTCTGCGGCTCGTCCTGCTACAATATGGCGCCATTGCACTCTAGCCTGGGCAACAAGAGCCAGACTCCTTCTCAAAAAAAAAAAAAAAAAAAATTGCGGCCGGGCGCGGTGACTCACACCTGTAATCCTAGCTCTTTGGGAGGCTGAGGTGGGCGGATCACGAGATCAGGAGTTAGAGACCAGCCCGGCCAGTATGGAGAAACTCCACCTCTATTAAAAATACAAAAATTAGCTGGGCATGGTGGCACGCACCTGTAGTCCCAGCTGCTCAGGAGGCTGAGGCAGGAGAATCGCTTCAACCTGGGAGGCGGAGCTTGCAGTGAGCCGAGATCGTGCCACTGCACTCCAGCCTGGCTGACAGAGCGAGATTCTGTCTCAAAAAAAAAAAAAAAAAGAAAAGAAAAGAAAAAAAAGAAAAACAAGCAAAGAGTGGTGATGAAATTTGAAAGAAGGGACTAGGCCGGGCGAGGTGGCTCACGACTAATCCCAGCGCTTTGGGAGGCTGAGGCAGGCAGATCACCTGAGATCAGGAATTCAAGACCAGCCTGGCC